>NC_000008.11:3687420-3989706 GCF_000001405.40 Homo sapiens
CTTGCCTCTCAAATAAATTATGGAAGCAGAGCCTTTATTGAGAAAGCAATAAAACAGTAAGATCTATTTACAAAAAGCAACCATCTCAATTTTAATTTTCTCTACTTTTCTTCCAGATATTCTCTGTGTAAATGCTATATTTTTCTTCCAGTTTCAATGAACTGCTCTTGTAGGGATCTCTTTGAAGATTTCAGTGGGTTCCGAGCACTGTGCCCTTGTTCATTTGTGCTGAGTGGCGCACGCTAGGACCGAGGCTCCCTGAGCCCCACCGTGCTAACTGATGGCTGGTGGCCTTTGGAAGCACGCTGCTATCTTGAAGACAGCAGGGCCTTGAGTAACGGCCAAGTCTGGCCTGTAAAAACACTTGATCTTTGCTCCACTTAAGTCTCTCTCGAGAAAGGTAGCACTGCTCTCTCAGTCCACTCTTGGTCTCCACTCAGTGAGGACCAGAGTCCGTACTGATGACCTGGGGACAGAGCAGCTGTGAGCTCTGAGTAAATGCCTCTCTGCACCTCCTACCAACCCTTTGTTTCCTTTTCCATCATCATATTTGCTTATCTGAATTTTAAGGCTTCTCTCTTTTAAATCTGCAAATTTTCAGCGTGACCGAAATGGATTGCTTTGCTCACTGCATCTGCTTTTTGTTCCTCAGGAAGTTCAGCAGGCTGGAAACAATGACCACTTAGTGTGCTTATCTGCTTCGAAGTAATTGCAATACCTTATATTTAGACACAATAAAAATACATGAGAGAGCTGGGCATAAATTGGACACAATGAATACTTGTTGCATGCGTAAGTGGGCAAAGATGATAGTATAATTTTATTCAAAATTACAAATATTGTCTCTTTTCTTTTGAAACGGACTATAATAGAGGTGTAAAGGACCAATTTTAAATGTGCTAAGCCTTACAAATGCCAGTAGAAAGTTTAATCATCCAGTGATATTTATAAAGGAGGAATTGAGAAATAGACAGAGGTGCTTTGAATTTAGATTTTAGACTTTGAAACTGCTACATGATTTGAGGCAAATGACTCATCCTACGTGTCTCTGTTCCCTAATGTCAAATGAGGAAATGTAGTTATAATGAAAAGTTACTCTTTATCACATGTGCAAAACTTAACTACAATGCATGTGCTTAATAAATGTTAGCAATGCTCATAATTATTATTTATACAATAAAATATTGGGGAAAAGGCCACTTAGCAAAAATACAAATTCTAGATTTTTCAGTGAAATGAAATTTCGTGGCAGTTCTGCAATATTTCTGTAGGGCACTCTGAATTTCTTTCTCCTCAATTAAAAAATATTTACTTTAAAAGTTGCTGGGTGAAACTGTAGCATAATACGGATTCTGACATGCTAGAGTATACTGTAATACTATAGTAAATAAAACAGTGTAATAGTGGTTAATTAACTGATAGCAATCAATTAAAAAGAATAGAGAGATCAGAAATAGACTCACTTAGATCTCAGACAAAGGAGCAAACTTAAAAAGTTAAAAAAAGTGAAAATTAAGTAATTAAATGAATGAAATATTATGAAATTAAAAAGGGTTACTTCACTTTCGAGGCTCTGCATAGAGTTATGTACAATATTCTGATTTTATAAGCAGGAATCTAAGGGTCATCTAAGTAAACATGTGACTGATACACTTATTCCCAACTCATCATAAAATGAGAAAAATAACAGCAACCAAACAACTCCATGCTTTGGTTTAAGTTGTGAGACAACGCGCTCTAAGGTTGGGAACATGTCATGACTTTCAGGGAGCTGCACACAAGTTCCTACACACCTCCCCACCTTCTAACTTATCCACAGTTACCATGAAGTGAATCATGGAACTTGCAGCTGAGCGTCAGGGGCCTGTGGCTAACATTGGACTAAGCCATCTCCAGATGATCTAGTTAACTCCAGTATTGTCCTCCCCTCATACCACCCTTGCTGATGCCATCAGAAATGCCAGAGTCCCCTTCGGTTATACAATGTTTCAGGAAGAAAGGAAATGGCGGGATAGTTAGAAGTAATTATGGATAGACGTAGAAAGATTCTTGAAGACAGAATAGTGTTTTTATTCTCACTCTGCTCATACATTTCCATTTTCTTCTTTTCCCGGAGGAGCCATTTCCATTGACTGTGTCTTCAACATTCACCTAAGGACAGTTCAGTTCACTCTTAGTCCACTGAACAGAAATATTTAGAGTGTGCTTACTATGTGGCAGGCCTGGTTCTGAAGGCCTTACACGAGTCATCTCCTTTAATCCTCACGTCAATCCTATGAGTAAAGTACTATAATCAATCCCTTTTTAGTGATGAAAACATGATCACTAAATAAAGCAGAGGCCCAGAGTTATAAAGTGATTTTCACAAAGTTACAGTCTATTCATTGGAGACACCATGATTCCAAACTACTGGGCTCAGAAAGAACATGAGCTTTAAATCAGATATTTCCTCCAGCATTTCATAGGGATATTGATTCAAATTAAATAAAGCTGCAAATAATCACGTTCATCAATTAAGTAGTAAAAGTGCTATACAGTGTCACCAGTAAGTACTGACATATGCCTAATATTTTAACAAGGTAAGGGTGGTCAGTAAATGGAGTTCTTGCTTTAGCAAACATAAAATAATAATAAATGTAATCCAAACATTGATCTAGGCTGCGCGTAGTGGCCAACATCTGTAATCCCAGCACTTTAGGAGGCTGAGACCGGAGGATCACTTAAGCCCAGGAGTTTGAGACCAGCCTGGGCAACAGGGCAAGGCCCTGTCTCTACAAAAAATACAAAAATTAGCCAGGCATGGTGGTGTGCACCTGTAATCCCAGCTACTTGGGAGGAGGCTGAGTCAGAAGGATCGTTTGAGCCCAGGAGGTGGCAGTGACCGAAGATCGCACCACTGCACTGCAGCCTGGGTGACAGAACGAGACTCTGTCTCAAAACAAAACAAAACAAAAATTACCTGAATCTAAAATTTGCCAGCCTTTGATAAAATATTTGAAGCAATTTCTTCTGTATGTGGGTAAACTGTCACAGTAGTGTTCAAGGCTTCTCAACATGTGGGGCAATACAATGTCTGTACTAACTAGGGGACGCCTCCCAAATAGACTGTTAGTCATCATCTACTTTTCAATTAGCCAACCCTGGCAAGTGTTTTTACATCAGTGAGATGTGATTCAACGGTACTGTGATGATATCATAGCTTCCACTCTCAAAATATTCTTTCACTAATTTGTCCTTAGGGGCTGTGTGGAGTTGTAGGAAGGCTGAGAAGTACATAAAGCGCATAGCTGATACATCTTTGCCACAGTTTGTACTGAGATACTCTTAAATGTTTTCTTACTTTTATAAGATAAAGTTTAATTTATAAAAAAAGGAATAGTCATATTCTAATTTTCTAAACTAGCAAAATTGAGGTTCTTTGAATAGGTGGTCTAATTACCCAAATACATTGATTTCATTTAATGTATAAATAAATTAAATAACAACAAATAAATTGAATAATTAAATAAATTAAAGTAAAAGTCGGCCCCATGATTTGACTGGTTAATGCATGTTTGTGTGTGAGGGTGGGGAGTGCTGACGGGTTTCATCTTTACCCTGGTACTAAAGTATCTTTTTCTCTCTAACACACATGGCGACATCCTCTAGCAAAACTGTATCAATGGGCCGGGCTTGGTGGCTCACACCTGTAACCCCAGCACTTTGGGAGGCCGGGGCAGGCGGATCACCTGAGGTCAGGAGTTTGAGACCAGCGTGACCAACATGGTGAAACCACGTCTCTACAAAAAATACAAAAAATTAGCCGGGCACGGTAACAGGCACCTGTAATCCCAGCTACTCAGGAGGCTGAAGCAGGAGATCACTTGACCCTGGGAGGCGGAGGTTGCAGTGAGCCGGGATCGTGCCACTGCACTCCAGCATGGGTGACAGAGCAAGACTCTGTCTCAAAAAAAAAAACAAAACAAAAAAACAAAAAACAAAAACAAAACAAACAAAAAACTGTGTCAATGAAGAGAAGATTGGCGCTTCCTTTATGCAACACAGTCTGTAATTTCTATTTCAATGTTTCACTGCAAGGCATCTAGAAACTTGGCCTAGCCAAGGAGGAAGCTCAGGACCTACCTGAATGAATAATTGTATTTACACATAACTTTATAATCTTCCAACCTTTGGCTTCTATCCTATCCTAACAAAAATATATAACAACTGACAGTGTTCCTAAGTACCCTTTCGTGGCAGGCACTGGGCTAAGTATTTTTTATAGCAATGTAATAAACAAATAAAACCCTATAAGGTAAATATTATCGCTATTTTAGAATTTGAGAAAATGAGGCTCAATACCATTTTTTACACATTTATTTCTCTTTGGTTTAAAAAAAAGAGGCAGTTTCAGTGATCTAAAAATATGATGAAAGAGAGTCTGTAACTTGAATATTTTCAGGCAGAATTTGAATCTATGACTTCTATGGCTTCAAGATTAAGCATGTTTCACTGTGAAAACACACTCCAATATTATTTTAATCAAGAGCTCTCATTTCACTCCCCTGAATGACGGTCTTTGTCCAGCTCATGAGACAGGATGCTGGGCATCTGGTCTCATCATCAGCAGAGCCGTCACTCAGCGATCTGCCTGCTCCGGGTGAGATCTCAGTCAACTTCGCAATCATCCTCTGACTCATCTGGAGAGGCCTGGGGAAGCCACTGCATCCGGGTCTCCTATCCCAGCCGCTAATGACCATGGCCCTACAACATTGTTTCTCCTGACTTTACGTTGTTATGCCCCATACACCTCAGTGTCCTGGGGGCAAAATCCTTCACAGCCCCCTTAGTCGCTATCCTGCGATTTCACCAGCACCACCACAATTTGTATACACCCCACTGAACTTCAAGTTATGACCACATACCCAAAAGAAGAGACTCAGAGAAACAGACTCAGGAAAGAGACTCGCTGCTTTCTGTGGAGCTTGTCACTTCTAACGTGCCTCCTTCGACCTAAGCCACCAGACATTTATACTTTAACAATAATTTTTTTTTTTTTTGAGACGGAGTCTCCCTCTGTCACCCAGGCTGGAGTGCACTGGCGCGATATCGGCTCACTACAACCTTCACATCCTGTGTTCTCTCCTGCCTCAGCCTCCCGAGCATCTGGGATAACAGGCATGTCACCACACACAGCTAATTTTTGTATTTTTCGTAGAGGTGGGGTTTCACCATGTTGGTCAGGCTGGTCTCGAACCCCT
Source organism: Homo sapiens (assembly GCF_000001405.40). Taxonomy (NCBI): domain Eukaryota; kingdom Metazoa; phylum Chordata; class Mammalia; order Primates; family Hominidae; genus Homo; species Homo sapiens. The sequence continues at coordinate 3,692,661 of NC_000008.11, forward strand.
GACCTCAAATGATCTGCCTGCCTCGGCCTCCAGAAGTGCTGGGATTACAGGCATAAGCCACCACGCCTGGCCACAACAATTTCTGAGAATGAACTTTTCTGAGGCCCATGTGCCTTTTACTATAGGCTATTCTGAGACCTCTGGACCCTAATATGCATGGCAAAAATATTATTAGGCATTAGTAATGTTTCTTTGGAAAAATGTTAATATTCTAATGGTACTTTGATCTTTATATCCTAACAAAATGCCATTCAATTATCAAAATAGAAGGGTAAAAAAAAGTGATCCTGTTTTTTTGTGTGATTAACTTGGATATGACTTCTTTATCATCAAAAGTAACATTAATATTATATTGGTAAACTCTTAAGAAGGTTTACAATATTAAAGTTCTTCTTAGTAATAATCAGGAATACATTTATTCTAGATGTTGAATACAAATCAATACATAGAGATAAATAGATACCAATAGATAGTCACCCACACTGTGTCAAGTAATTTGCTATAGTGAGTAAAATTGGTCAGGAGTCAATGAATCAATACTGTTCATCAAATGCTTGTCACGACAACAGGCATAATATGTTCTGGGTATATAACCAAGTAGGATGCAAGGTCACTTATCAATGAGATTATATTCTAGGAGAAAATGAAATATATATATGATAATTTTTTTTTCAATTATTGTCAGATGTCCAAGAAATGATAAAATCCGAGTAATGTGGAATATAATGACTTTTGTTAAGAGTGTGGGATAGGCTGACAATTGTGGGTGGGCTGACTTAGCTGGGTATTGATACGAGGAGTTGATACTGAAATTGCTGGTCAAATTATGGCAGCAGGCAGCCGCCTGGAGATTCATTTATCCATTATACATATCGTTACTGAGCCCTACAATGTCCCCAGCACAGTTCTACAGTGAATAGAACACTAAAATCCCCACCCTTATTCCATGAGAGAGACAATAAACAAAATAAATAAATGTGTACATATATGTAGTTATTAGGTAATAAAAAGATATAAAGAGAAAAATGAAACAGAACGGGAATTAGAAAATGTATGTGTTGTGTGTGTTATGCTTGTTATGGTGTGTGTGTTGTATGTGTGTTTTGTGTGTATTGAATATAGATGTGTGTTGGCGTCGTGTGTGTGTGTGTTGTGTTTGTTATGGTGTGTGTGTTGTGTGTGTTAGGGTATATTATGTGCTGTATGTGTGTTTCGTGTATGTTGAATATAGATGTGTGTTGGCGTCTTGTGTGTGTGTGTGTTTGTTATGGTGTGTGCGTCGTGTGTTGGATATAGGGGTGTGTGTGTGTTGGGTATGTGTGTTGTTAGTGTGTGTGTGTTGTGTGTGTTGGGGTATTATGTGTTGTGTGTGTGTTGGGTATGTGTGTTGTGTTAGTGTGTGTGTGTTGTGTGTGTTGGAGTGTTATGTGTTGTGTGTGTTTTGGGTATAGGTGTGTTTGCTGTGTGTGGCGTGGTGTGTGTGTACATGCTGGAGAGGGGCTCACAGATCTCACCAACAAGGTGAATGTGTCCATAGATGGGGCAGGGACCTCTGAAACCCAGGGAGGCCATAGCTCTGTCATGGAGTCCAGGAAGAGCCTGGTCATGCTCAGGGGTCCACACCTCACTTCCTAGACGTCGGCTTCCAGGAGCACAGCAGCATGACTGAGCAGACAGACAGGGGTCACTCAGGCTGAGGATTTTCCCAAACTGACACCCAGAAGACTGATCAACAGCTCTGCCTGCTGCACACCAGGGAGTAACTGTGTCAGGCAGACAGCTGCATACATGAGTCTGGGAAAGACGGCCAGGCCGAAAACACCATCTGGGAAAGCATGTGCATAGAGACAGTCTTTAAGATCAGGAGGCCGGGTGAGATCCCCAGGTTCAGGTTCAGTGGAAGGCCAGGCCCGAGACTCCCCACCCTGCAAAACTCAGGAGAAAAGGAAGGACCCAGCCCTGGGCATGAGAGGGAGGCTGGGTGGGTGGACACAGCAGTGGAGGAGGTGCTCCACTGAACTGCTGTGGGCTTTAGAGGGAATGAAAGGGGAGAACCTGGAGGAAGCAGGTGCCATTCTGCTTCGAAAGCAACACCAAAAAAGAAGTGGAAAGAGCGGTCCAAGCAGAAGTAACAGAAAGTGCAGGGAGCCAGGGGAACGCGGCAAGGAATGAGCCAGGACATGAAGCAATACCGGATCCTAAAGACCATAGAAACCTGCTGGATTCATTCTGGGTGTGAGGGGAAATCGCACATCATTAGCACCACGTGTAGCTTGCCAGTTCAGTATGTCAAGAAAAGTAGTGAAAATTGTATCCTACCTGAGTTTTTAAAGATGATTAGGACATTAGACGAAGACATGAAAGGGAATTTGGAAGAGAAAAAGTCACGTGGAAGAAAGAACATCACAAAAGAATTGGAGGCCCTGCGTGTGTGTGTGTGTGTGTGTGTGTGTGTGGTTATTGAAGAAGTGTAGTACAAGGATATTGCAGGAGCACAGGGGGACATATTTCCAAGGACCTCGAAGACACTGTCTGAAAACCAGGTTTATCTTATAGATGCAATAAACGCTGGAAGACTTTGGAACATGGGCAAGGATATTAATCCATCTAAAATTATAGTGCCGCGATGCAGAATTTGCAAGCTAATGCCCTTTACCAAAAAACACTTAATTTCCTGTAAGAAATGACAAATAACCACAAAAAAAAATAATGACTCAACGTGTCCTGTATGCTAAAACTCACTTTTATTAGGTACACTCCAATTAATCCTCTTGGTAGATTGAATATTAATATAAAATCATGAGAAATACAAATCTGGCTTTACCTTATGATAATTAGCGTTTATCACAGATACAGAAGAGAACAATAATATAATATTTGCTAATTGCTTTCCACCAAATAAAAGAATAATATTATTTTGAAGGATGATAGTACTAGAGGAAAATGTTCACGTGTTTCACAAAAGCATCCAGAAAGGAAATTTAGGTCGAAATATATTAAAAATAATGATTAGAAAGATTCTAGCAAATTGTATTTAAAAGTTACTAAAACAGCAGTTTGGCTGGAAGGAAGGATGACAGCTAAACCCTAGTCTGAGCATATTCAATACATGATGAACTGGATTCAGATTATAAATCAACCAGCAAACACTTTTCCAACTTAAAATAGCATTATTTGTTTCATTTCACAGAAATTACCATTATATTTTTTACAAGGTATATTCATTGTACTCATTTGATATCTTTCTAATTATTTTCTATCTTTGTAGGAACAAGACAAATCAGACCTTCCAAAAACTACACTTGAAGATATGGGATAGTTTTTTCCAGTGTTAGAAATATGACTTGTGGAAGACCTACCATTTGTATATTTGCACACGTGCAAAAAAAAGCTGTTAAGATTTTCTTATGGGGGACAGGGAATGAGACATTTCCTACATATCAGTTACCTTGAATTTTCACTTGAAGCCATGGTTTTCCCAGATACATAATGAACGTATCTTCTTCGGATGTCACATGGTTGATGTTATTCCATATGCCCTTCAAACAGACAGTTCAAACCATAAAATAGGCAATTTAGACAGGCACATTGCTCTTCCTGCAAGTATTCTAATAATAATAATATGCAGTGCATGCAAAATATGGTGCCTTCCATCTCCGAAGCACTTCACTAATTACCCAATGTGTTCACCTTGGCTTATCTCTTTGACTTGTCGTATACTTTCACATATCTTCAAACGTGACTTAGTTTTCTTCTCTGACATAAGCTACCATGGACTGCTTCTGCACATCTCTTCTCTGTGAATATAATGCAAATGCAGTGAACCCAACGGATGTGACGAAAGAAATGCTAAAGCAAATCAATATAATCATTTGGTGTAATTAAATGATCTAATTTAATCCAATTAGTGTGGTAATTAATTTGGGCAGATCAGGAAAAAAATGAGCGCTTTGGAAGATTGAAACGTCATCATTATATAACCCTGATGCACATTAAAGCTCATCCATTTTGCAGATAAGACAACAGTCAGTAAGGGAAGTCCAATTGTCCATTTTAATCGTTAAAGTATAGGATCAAGTTATAAACTAGATGTCAAGAATATGGAAATAAGGTCAACAGGAGTTTCTAAAATATATTTCTTCTACTCTTTATCATTTGAATTAAAATGTATTCCCATAGTTTAAATTCCCTTATTTCTATATTAGTGTAGCTCATATGAACTCCCATGAAAATAGATTTATGAAAGAGAACACTTTATCAGTCACTTTGCCTTCCATATATGGGCCACGTGGACTATAGAGTTTGGGACTGTAGATCGTAGGGGCCCCAGGATCCAGTAGGTCATGGGTTCTGGTGAATGTGGTCACATTCCTCTTCCATTGAGGGCAGACACAAGGTAGCAGCTTCTCCTGATGCCATGAATAACTGCAGGCCCAATATTGCTAGGTCATCAATAATCAGCATAATCATCATTCAGTCTAAATTGGCTTTTTTGTTTTTGAAACTTTTCATTCAGTGAGGCTAAATTATCAAGTCTGGGCAAAACTTATTTCTCTCCAGAAAATGGTAGTCAGTTTCAGTTTCATGATTCTGTAATTCTGTAAGCACTCTAATGAAAGGATTTAACCAGAAAACATTTTCGGTTTTCTCCTTACACCTTTAAAATGTGTTTTAAATAAAACCAGGCTTAAGAGATATGTACTTTTTCTGAATTCCCTTTGATCATCTGAGTTCATCTTGATATTTAACTCTTGGTCTCTTCGTTATGTTTATATCAAGGCTAATTAATTATCTTGCTGACTTAGTTTGCTTGTGTATAAAATGGAATTCTTTAATTGATAAGAAAGCTTCATTGATTAGTTTTTAAAGTTTCTGACTTTAGTTACTCACTAACAAAGACTTGCTCATGTAAGATGATTTTATTACAAGAATATAGCAGTTCCCCCTTCTGACTGCTGCTGGAATTGTTTTGACTCTGTGGGCGCCAAACATGAATCATTCATAATCCTCCAGAGGTTCAGAGATTGCCTCATCCAATTACATAGGAATAGAAAGTAATTTAGTTATTTTCTTATATAAAATTTGATGAAAATTCATGTGTTACAATGCACTTCTAAAAAGTAGTGATGGAAATGCTAAAATTTATACTTCCTTTTTTAGGTCTGCCATCATCTCCAGGTTGTTTCTCATTCACTATTTGAGGTAAAAGAATGTGCTCTCTAGCCATTACGCAAAGTGAGTTTTTCCCTTTAGTGAATCAATTATATTCTTTAATTGTATGCTGAAACCACTTGAAAAGCATTTTACTTCTATGGTTACAATTCAATTTAACCACCTGTAATCCAATCAGGCTATACATTGTTTTATGTATTTTAATAGATCCTTTTTTTCTGTTTATTTAAAAAATTATATGATATAAACGGTATGATGAATAATTGATGAAACATCTTGTTTTGCTTCTAGTTCCCAGTGATGCTGTTCTCAAATCTATCTAGACAGCAGTCCCCTTCACAGCAATATTTTCCATAGCACTTGAAAAGATATTTTAGCTTCTGCAGTGACAAACGCCTGTTTAGAAAGTGGAAGCATAATTTACTTACCTGACTGATGAAGCATTTTTTACAATCTACTACATTTGTTTTATATGGAGATGGGTCTTTGCTAAGAAAACAGGGTCTTTAACAATTGCAAAACTCCATTATTACATTTTATGATGGAGCAAACTAGATTAGAGCAATTCTCCTTCTTGTTTTATTAAGCCTTTATACTACTGTTAGAGGTTAATGGCGCTATTATTTTTCCTACCGTCAAAATCTGCTTTAAAGCAAGACCTACAGCACTTAGTGCTAGAAATCTGGCACACGGATTAGCAGGCATGCCTGCTTCTGCAGCAGTGTTAGAAATCACTCTGGCCTACTACCATTCAGATAAATCACACGTTCCTAATACAGCACTCGCGTCCCTAAAAGCAAGACCTGATGATGAGAGGCATTTCTGGCAATCTAGTAACACGCCTGGTATTCCTTAATAATATTATTGTGAAGCAAAATGTGTTTCTCACAGATGAGTAAAGAGGATCATGTTCATTACTGAAGATTATCCATATGCGGACTAATAGAGTGAAAATGTATCTGGTTATCTGGAAAATTATGGCCTGATGAAAATGTCCGTGGGAAAATGATTTCTGAAATAAAGTTTCTGAGCTTGAAACTACATAAGCATCATTTGCAATTGATTGGATTAGGGGACATGTCACAACTTCCATTCTGTGGTATCCTGTGTTCTAAGTCAGGCATCCAGGCTGATGAAGGTCCTCACTCCATTCTCCTTTCCTTTCATCCCACCCTCCTTGTACCCACATCCCACCTCAAGCTCTGGATCTAGCGAAGCACTCTGCAGAAAGGCAGCATGCATTCGCTGAAATTCTTCAAATGACCTTCCTAAAAGCAAGCATGTCTCAGCCATTGACTCAGTAACAAATGAACTCCTTCAGCAGTGGGATGGAGGAAAATTAGTACATTACACTGTGTTTTCTGACTGACTAGAGCACACAATGTAGACTGACAATTAGTTTTTATTACCAGCTGCTATCACCTTGTGACAGAAACTTGAAAAATTTCTCATAATTTTCCTGTTTCCTTCCATGCAGTGGATATCATGATTCTGAAACTAGTGTGTTTTACTGACATGGATGAATTATTTAATTATTTGTGCTTTTCTCCATACAACACATAACATTTTGATAATGGGCACAGTTTTCTCTTAGCCAGTACCTAGCAAGTCTACAGATAAGACATTTCAGCCACGGAGGAAGTCCTTTAAAGAGGACTTGGTGGCGCCTCACATGGCCCTGCTTTCCTACGGCTTTCCATCCTCTATTTCTATGGATTTCTATATTTTATGGGTTGATCTACTAATATTTTGAAAGATAGTGAATTTCCATTTTTACTCAATCATCAGTAAATGTTACTACCGTTATGACAGCACTCTGTGTGACAAATATTTACTGGTGATCTGAAACACTATAAGACTATAATTTCCCCTGGAGAAGGAACAGATGCTGATCATCTTTATGACAGCTTCTGGATGCTCCGCAACGAGGGACTGTTGAATGTGTGAGTGAAGATGTGAAATATAAAAATCTAATTGAAGAAAAACATGAGCACCCTCTTCCCACACGACACACCATCCCATAACTACATCCCTGGGTTATATCCCATAGCTACATCCCTGGGTTATATCCCATAACTACATCCCTGGGTTATATCCCATAACTACATCCCTGGGTTATATCCCATAACTACATCCCTGGGTTATTCAATTCACCACCTGAGCATCTGTTGTGTTCCTGAGACTCTTATAAATTCTTAGTAGAGATCAGAGAACAAAGTAGAAAATATGCCTGTCCTCATAAGAATGATACAAAGGGCTCTGTGGACGTTGGGGGAAGAGTGGGAGTGGGGCGAGGGATAAAAGACAACAAATATGGTGCAGCGTATACTGCTCAGGTAATGGGTGCACCAACATCTCACAAATCACCACTGAAGAGCTTACTCATGTAACCATATACCACCTGTACCCCAATAACTTATGGAAAAAATACGAAAAATAATTTTTTACAAAAGAAAATATACCTGCCCTCATGTAGTTCAGTTTATATTCTACTGGGAGATGTGAGAGAAATGAAATGAACAGGGTTACTTTATGTGTGTGTTTATGATACACACTCAAATAAACATACACGTATATGTATATGTAATATGTTATAATAACTTAAAAAACACAAAAACAGAGCAAGTAACAGAAGAAGATAGAAGGTGTGGATGCTCAAGTCAACAGCCATACCACCCTGAATGCACCTGATCTCGGAACCTAAGCAGGGTCGGGGCTGGTTAGTACTTGGATGGGAGAAGTTGTGGATGCTCAAGATACATGATATTTAGTTAGGGTGATCAGTGACAGCTGCCAGAGAAAGCGAATTTTAAGAAACGATGTGAGGGAGGGAGGATGTGATACGGCTTCTTTGGGACATTATTTCAGGCTGAGGAGAGAGGAGAGCAAAGTCCCTGGGGTGTTGAGTGTCCAATGTCCTCAAGAAACAGCCCAGAAACCAAGAGGACCAGGATGCAAGGGTGGGAGCAAAGGAGTTCTTTGGGTCTTCATAAGGAATTTGGACTCGTTCTGCCTGTGACGGGAAACGTTTGAGGGTCTGGAGAAGAGGAAGGATGTGGTTCTACTGATATTTCACCCAGATCCTTCTGATTGCAGGGTGGGACTTTGTCAGGGCAGGGAGAGGCTGAGGATGACATGATGATACAGGTGAGGGGCGACGGTGGTTTGGGGGTAACGAGAAAGGCTTGGGATATGTCGGGGGGCAGTCAGGGCTCACCAAGAGGCCGGAGAGAGGGGTGCTGTGAAGGTCTAGGGACTGAATGGTGGAAGTCACAGACTTCTTCTGTGAGAGGTAAGAGGGAGAGAGATGCCTGTTAGACATCAACGTGACTCCCAAGTAAGCCCGTGGATAGGAAGTTCTGGCCCGTAGAAGAGAAATGCAGGTTAAGCCACGTAATCCACCTCAGTCCATTCTGGAATTGGATCATCTCGGGACAACTTTCCGAAGATGAATATGAGTGAGCTGGTTTTCTTCTCTCTTTATTTCTCATGGTAGCCCTATTCATGATAATTCATGACTTCTCTTTTTCTTTGTCTCAGCTTCTACAGATCCCAGAGAGAGAACAGTTGCGAAAGTCTGTCCCCGGGCTGAACCGAAGCTGCTGCTGGCGGTTATGGTGCTAAACTCAGAGGCTGACATGAGGGCAAAAGACTCTTCAGGATATAGGATTAAACCTTATTTTTTTTTTTTAGCATATTGGAATTTAACGATTAAGAGAAGATTACCCACTAGTGTATTTTATTTGTTCATAAATTATTCCAAACTTAAGACAACTAAAACTACGAATATTATAATTATAAGTAGATAAATACAAGTGGAAAATTATTTTCTGAAGTATATTTTGCAAAATGGTTCAATCAGTCAGGGTATTTACAAAAGACAATCCAAACACTCTACAGTTATAATTACATCATTAAGTATATACAGTAATTGAGACATCACTTTATGTGGCCTTCTAAAAACAGAGATACAAGTTTTAAAATCTGCCCTTCCAAATTATGCCTGAGCCACAACAAAAGCCAGAGGGAGATGGAACCACTGTGTGTCGTTATGAAGGACAAGAGTCCATCAGTTGCTTTTCATTAACTGAACTGTCTCTTTGGAAACTAGGGGCGAATATCATTCTGTTTTGCTTCAGGTCTCTTTTTTTTTTCTTTTCAGGGTAAGAAAACATTGATTGCCCAATACAAACAAAGAGCAAGGAAGTGAACGTTTATGGTTAAATACAGGAGAATTCCAGGGGCATTTATTTTATAATGTTGTGTTGTTATTTTTCCCAGGGGCATAAAGGCAATGCATTAGAGTGCTCAGTTTTCCACATTTAAAAAATCATCTTTTTATTAAATAATGGTTCTGGATTAATTGCCCCATCCTGCATGGCTACAAAGTGTTGTAACTGCAAATGCTCCTCCGTACACAGCATGTCCCATCAGCTCATCTGAGTGAGCTACAACAAATCAATATCGAATTGGGCAAGTCATTTGTCTTTAACTTTACATGTGGGGAAAATCTCTACTTCAAAATAACAACCAATGTTTTGTTTATCTTTCTTCCTAGAGATGTATATATTTTGGAGTTAGAAGGGCATCCACAGATTATCTACTTTAGTAATCCTCACATTGAGAGCTGCTAAAACTGGTTTCTGCCAAGAAGAATGCTCAGAAGAAGAAGAAGAAATGACAGGTACTGTTACCATCATTAAAAAATAGAGTGCTGGCCAGGTGCGGTGGCTCATGCCTGTAATCCCAGCACTTTGGGAGGCCGAGGCAGGCAGATCGCCTGAGGTCAGGAATTCAAGATCAGCTTTTCCAACATGGTGAAACCCCATATCTACTAAAAAATAGAAAAATTAGCCGGGCATCGTGGTGCATGCCTGTAATCCCAGCTACTCAGGAGGCTGAGGCAGGAGAATCGCTGGAACCTGGGAGGTGCAGGTTGCAGTTAGCTGAGATCGCACCACACTCCAGCCTGGGTGACAGAACGAGACTCTGTCTCAATAACAAACAAATATATACAGTGTCAGTTTAATAATTTCTTTGGTATTGAAATAATCTACTTTCAGAATAAAGAGCAGTTCACCATTTCAGGGTGAGAAAGAAAATGGGGGATGGGTGCTTGCTCAGTTTATTCCAGATGCCCTTTTGGAGACATAATATTGCCCATTTACATTGCACTTTTTCCAAGAATAAAATAATTCAAAATTTAGAGCATATAAACCACGTAATTATAAAATACTTAGATATTTAAGATATTAATGACTATCTTAATATCTTTGGGTTTTTCTTCAAACATTACTGATTACAAGCTGGTGAAAAAGGAAATTCTAAATCTTCTCATTCTACACTTAATGTTGAGAGTCGCCCTCACCGCACAGAAGAGTTGAAATATCTCTAAAGACTACAGTCGCGCTGCCCTATGTGGTTAGGTTTTGTGCATGTTAATGATGAAATGAATTGTGGAGGGTTGAAAGCAAGGCTGTGTAAAGAAGCTGATGAACGTGGGTTCCCAAAGCAAAATTCACAAAAGACTCATCAGATTAGGAGGCATAAATGAAAGAATCTATAGGGCTTTTGTTCCAAAGCACAGAGATTCCTTTCTCCCTTTTCATTCATTCATTCATTCATTCATTCATTCATTCATTCATTCATCAGTAGATACTGGTTGTGTACTGGTAGCTTGGGCTGTCAGGGGATGAGGAGGTATGGTGTGTGATCTGTGGGTCATGGATGGGAAAACCCCAAACTTTCAAGGGGCTCATCTTGAACTAAAGGTACAATCAAGGTAGGTCTGGTAGAAAAATTTCACTGGCCTAGCAGGAAGAAGCAGAGGAAGAGATGAGCCTGCAGGATGTGCACGACTTCCAAACACAGGCACTTTCATCTTTCAAGTGAAAAAAGCAGGAGTTTGTTTTAAATCTATGGCCAGCTATTACATACCTGTATAAACTTAACTCTCAGCTGGGCATGGTGGCTCATGACTGTAATCCCAGCACTTAAGGAGGCCAAGGCAGGAAGATCACCTGAGGTCAGGAGTTTGAGACCAGCCTGGCCAATGGTGAAACCCCATCTCTACTGAAAATACAAAAAAATTAGTCGGACATGGTGGCACACACCTGTACTCCCTGCTATTTGGGAGGCTGAGACAGGAGAATCACATGAACCCGGGAGGTAGAGGTTTCAGTGAGCTGAGATCCTGCCACTGCACTCCAACCTGGGTGTCAGAGTGAAACTCCATCTCAAAAAACAAAAACAAAAAAACTTAGCTCTCTTAAGTCTTATAATTAGAGCAGTCCTCCATCACTGTGGCAGAAGAAAAAAACCAGTCAGTTAGACAGTGAAGGCTGGTTGTTGGAGATGCAGCCGGCCTGAAAAATCACAGCTACAGGCAAAAATAGAGCAGCCTGGGAAAAGTCAGTCTGCACCTGGACAGATGAGCAAGCAGGATTCAGCACAGAAGCCTTCTGTTCTTTGCGTGATTAGCGAGCTCCCAGGAAAAATTTCCTCCCTTTTTCAGGCATATACCCAGTGGGCTCCATAGGAACTCACACAGGGAGGAGGGGGCCTTCCTAAAACAAATCCACAGTTATACAAACAAGAGAAGTGGTACTTTGTACTTGCCTAGGGACATAACCACAACAACATAAATAAGGGGTAGTTATGCAGACAGCTTTACAGATTAGAAAAGTGACTCAAACAGCTAGAGAGATAAGAGGAGTTTCTCATAAAAGCTTTGTAATTCAGCTGTCAAAGCAGCAACCCATTTGAGATCCCCTCTGCCTTGTGAAAAGCTTTCTTCTCTCGCTTATTAAACTTTCACTCCAACCTCACCCTTTGTGGCCACGCCCCTTAATTTTCTTGGTCATGAGACAATAAGCTTGGATAACACCTTAGACAACCAGACCACTGACCTTGATCTGTTTAATTATCAAACTGCAAGTTTCCTGAGGCTGTCAGGGAAATTCTCCCATTCCTTGTCATGATCTCTCTCTTTTTCTTCCTGCACTTGCTGAACTCTTGCTGATGCCCTGACAGTGAGCAGAGGGGAGGGTAATAATGAACAGGACTTTGGGTGGATCTGATATAGTCAGAGGGCATGGATTTCTTGCTTTGCCCAGTGTTTGTTTTTACTTTTATTTTTTAACATCTAGAACTTTGGGTAGAACTTGCCCTCTCGAATTCACCAAAACCTTGAACATTTTCTATCACCATGACAGGGTCCCACCAGGAAACAGATGTCATTTGGAGAAGAAGCCAGTCAGGCAAGGCTACTTTCAAAGGCTCTGTTTGCAAAAGGGTGAATCTGGGGACACCACCAGGGACAGGGCAGTGGCAGGGGAAGGAGTCGCCACTGAGCTGTGGCTGCTTTCTGCACTGAAGGCAACAAGGGGCACAAGTTGGTGCTGAAATCCAGAGGGACATGAACGCACAAGGTCACCCTCTGCAAAGAGCTGTGACCTCTGATTTTTGTGCCTTGGAGCAGAGACAGCTTCAGGGGGCTGCAGGAGGCAGCTCAGCCTTCCATCCATACCCTGGTGCTTCCCACGGGCAGAATACAGGAGCTGCTAGCAGTGTCCACCCCTGTCTGGCTTTGGTGAAGCCAGCACTGGATGAAAACTTCTTAACGGGGACAGCCTCACACTCTACAGTGAACAGATAATTCCCTGGCCACTGCTGTCACTTCTTTTACTCCCAGGGGAGTCTTCTGAAAAAGAACGATCATAAACAAACAAAAATGTCCAGCTTACAGAATAAAAAATACTAAGATGGAAGCAAACAGAGGGGGCTGTGGAACAAGAGCTAACAGTGCCTGCAGACCCTGAGCTAGACATTTTCCATAAATCTTCTGTCATATCCGCAACAAAACCCTTAGTTGGGGAAAGGATTATATCACTTCTGCAAGAGAGGTTTGTGTGCTTGGATCTAATCTCTAGAATCTCAAGAACTGTGGTCTCCCAGAGGAACCCAGATCTTGGGGTGAAGCAGAAGTGGAGAGACTCAAGTTAATGGAATGGCTTGAAAAGGAATGAGGCCTCCACTGAAGGCACCAGCACTTCACTCCCTGCAGACAGAAGATGAAATCCTCATGTCAGCAATAGGCATGTGGGCAGCCAGTGTCACCTTGGGTATCAAGAACGTAAAGCACTTTCATACTCAGTCTCCTACAGATGGTAAAGGATTCATGAGGTGCTGAAGAGGAAACGGGGCTCATGGTGGGAACGCCTAAGGCACGCATGACGCGCTGGAACGTGGCCTGGCCTGTGCCTACCTCCCCTACCGTTCGCCCCGTGTGGTTCACTTCCCTCCATTTACTATGGAAGGCTCCTAAGGTGAACAGAATGCCCACTGCATGCCACACTCTGCAACAGGCAGTTTACACCCCTCTTGATTTATCGGAGTGACAACCCTATGGAAAGGATTACTATTTTATTAATAATTGTGTAAGCGATGACATTTGAACTTGAATAAGGCATATACTTGCACAGCTATTGAATGCTTGCCTGTCGCTTCAAACCCTATGTCCTTTCATCAGTGAAACAATTTCATTTTCTCTGTCATACCTTTCTTTGGAATGACACATTACCATTGATTACCTTCCTCATCTTAGAAGGCTCAAGGTTTCCATTCCTCATTTTCCCTAATGATTAATTCCCATGCTTGACAAATACTTTAATACCGTTAAAAGAAAGGACAGAACGCTAATACCAAATGAGTCATTATGCATATGTCAATTTGTGTTCAGATGAGGACAGAAGAGATATTCTCCTTATTACAAAAGAAAAAAAGCTCTGCCTCAATCTTACAGTAGCAGAAAAATCTGATGCCCAAATGATCGGATATCCAACCTGATATTGATTTAATGTAAGAGTTTGGCCGGATATGTGGTTCTACATTGAACTTTAGATCATTTGTGCAGGGTTTTATCATAAAAATCATTTTCAAACTACTGTAAATACTATATCTCCCTCTACAGAACATTCTATACTAAAAGCTAACAATATCAAAATGTTAAAATTTTATTTTTAAAAAACCCTTTATTCCTTCTACTGTTTCTCAGATTTTTTTCCCTTCAGTTTTCCCATCCTTTTCCAATCTAATTTCATTAAAGGGTGACTGGCTGTGATTATTCAATAGAAAGTGCCATGCAAACATTTACAGATTGATTTTTTTTTTCTTTTGGAAGTGGGAGACACCTAAGACCAGAGGGGTAGTCAGAGTATGGTAGCTCCTCTCTGCCTCTGAGGCCCAGGGGACATGTTTACCTCTCTGTCCTCTCAACCTGCGCAGGACTGAGCACAGACTATGGATTATTGTCACACAAGCAATTGTCAGGAAATCCTAAAGTGATAAAGATGTAGGTCAATCTATAGTATCGTTGTCAAAAGATTGTGATTGTTTCTTTTATTAGTTTTAGCAGAATATTTGTTGCATATAAAACCTCATGCAGAAGTCTGCTCTAGCATGCAGATGTAAACAGAATTGACCCGAGAGGGTTCAGATGTCCATCCCAGCCCTTCCACTAATTGCTAGGCAACGGAAAAACAATATGCACAGATGCAAAACACCGGGGACAGGCGCACCCACAGAGCAAGGCTAGAAACATCACATGAAAAGATTGCCAGGGAAGCATAGAAAACACAACCCAATGGGTAGAAAGTCCTAGAAGAAGCGTGAGCAGAAAACGGCCCCTACAGGAAGTCAACCCACTTGGTATCTCAGTAGACGGTACTCATCTCTCGTTTGTAAGAAAAGCAAACCCTCAGTGAAGCTGGTACCCAGTAACTGTTATGACATGTGTAAGGTCGTGTGGGGAGCAAAACCAGTGGAGAGCTGACTGCACCTGCAGAGAAAGAAGGGTCTGCATAGTGAGTCTCCAAGGAGCACATAGGCTGTTGGCTTTCAGCTAAAGGACAAAGGGCCCTTCTGGCAGAGAAGCACCATGACCCAGTCCAGGCATGGTCAGGGCTTCCTATGGCTGAGTGATGACGATGGGCATTTAGGAGAAGGCACCAAAATGGCAGGTGTGGGAGACACCTTCATTCCTCCCACAGCTATTGATCTGGTATCTACCAGGTCCTGGGCACGTGCAAAAGTCATCAGCCAGACATGTCTGCAGATCTTGTTTTCTCTTTGGAAGGACGTAGACATTGCCCGAAAGCTACTTTACTCTCCAGGCAGTGAATGGTCAATAATATTTCAATAGACAAAAGACAAAAACCAACTTCTCCTTTGCAGAGATCAGTCTGGTCTGGTGTGTGTGGGGTGTGCAAGGACGGAGAGAGACTGGTATGAAAATGACTGACCGTGTCACATATACTTAAGAGAGACATCTGGAGGGTCCAGTCTCAGACAGTGATCAGGGCAGACGTGACACATGGTTAGGAGTTAGAACCACCACGACATTCCTCCGTAACAAAGTGAAGTTAGTGCATGTTCTTTCTCCCAGAAAATACTTTTGGATATAGAAAAGAAGGAAGAGATAACGTGGGGAAGGTGGTGGGTGGGATCGCTTCTTAACTGCTCCATTCTCTCCTCTGCTTACAAGGGCGTATCAATCCTCAGATAGAAAGGAAAGGGACTCACAGACAGAGTTTTTATGGCTTCCATCCTTGCTGGGCAGCATCTTGACTCCTCTTGACTTCAACTCAATCGCCTTTTTCACTGGAAGAAACAAAACCAAGCCATTAGCAGGTAAGACTTGGAGATCATAAAACCATGTTGTATCCACACAGCACTTCCAGTCATAACTGCTTTCTATCAACCCCCGAAAATGGGAAATGTTCTAAGAGGTGAATGATACCAAGTCAATGAAGTCAAAGAGCTTGTAAATAATTATTGTGAGGCTATCAAGCAGCAAGATCACATCTTACAGCATCAGTGTCGGAAGCTAAAAATAATACGTGCTGCCACTGACTTTACACATCCAATCCTATTTACCACTAGGAGTGGCAGATTCCACCAATCATTATCATTCCCCAAATTGTTCAGGCAGATCACTCACTTCATGTATCTATCCTGACTACAGAGTTGTCTAAGTTTGCTATAATCATGAAAAAAAGTTTAGATAAAAAGGCCAGTTGCTCATTCATGTATTCATATATTCATTTACTCACAGTTTAGCGAATCTGTGTGGGTGGGGAGCAAGTAGAGGAAAGGCATGCTCTACGTGCTGTAGATAAAGTGCTAGACACCACCAGTCCCTCCAGACGCTTTCCAGGCTGTGCAAAAGGCACAGAGGTCCTGGCTTCTAGCATCATCATTCTGAGAGTTAAATATGTTTCTTGATGTACTACGGCCTGCATTAAACATTTTAAGAAGTTTCATTTTTTTTTTTTGGTCACTTACGGAAAAAAAATGGGGGATGCATCTTGTGATTATAGAATATAAAATGTTATGATCTTCTAAGCTATCCCACACTTGGCTTTACTAAGTGCCCAGTGGAAACATTTCTGAGGTCCCCATATGAGACTGGACCTACAGCAGCTGCGAGCAGGCAGATCGGCTCCAAATCTTTGCTTACAACAGGGTGGCCCCATGACCTAGGTAAGTTACTTGCCTCTGAGCCTGTGACTCTATGTGTAAATAGCTGTGAGGGTTAGTTTTATGTGTGAACCTGACTGCACCACAAGGTGCTCAGACATTGGGCCAGAGGAGATTCTGGGGGTGTCTGTGAGAATGTCATGGATGATATTAACATTTGAATCAGCTGACTCAGGAAAGAAGATGGCTCTCCCCAGTGTGGGTGGGCCTGGTCCAGTCAGATGAAGGCCCAAATAGAACAAAAGGCTGATCTGCCCCAGTAGAGGCAAGACTTCCTCCTGCCTGATGGGCTTTAAATTGCAGCAGCATGTTTTTTTTTTTTTTTTTTTTTTTTTTTTTCCCTGCTTTCTGCTTTCTGACTGGAGCTAAAACACCGGCTTTCCTGGTCTCCAACTTGCTGACTTACCCCTTTCAGGTCTTCGGTCTTGTCAGCTTCATAATCATGTGAGTCAGTTCCTTATAGTAAATCTGTGTGTGTACGTGTGTGTGTGTGTGTGTACACATGCACATAAGGAGATTCATATAGATATGAAGTATATACAGGAGACCCCTGAAGCATACAAGGGGTTGGGGCACTGACCAACCCCCAACCCCCACACACAGCTGAAAACCTGATTATATCTTTTGGCTCCCCCAAAAACCTAAATGAAAATAGCCCACTCTTGACCAGATGCCTTACCAATAACATAAACAGTTACTTAACATATAGACTCATATCTACATATATTTTACGCATTCATGACACACCTTTTTGGATTTTTTTCCTGATATTTTTAGGCTATAAGAGTTGTCTGCAAGTTTTTTGTTTTTAATTGTCGCAAATTTCCAAAAAATGCTTCTATACATTCATTGAACAGAGTCTAAAAATAAGTGGATCCATGCAGTTTAAACCTATGCTGCTCAAGGGTTAACTGTATAAATAAATCTATCTATACACACTCAGGCACACACACATACCCACGACCAACTGGCTTTGTTTCTCTGGAGAACTCTGACGAAATACAATGCCAGGATGCCAAGACTGTGTAAGGCTGGAGACGATCAATGCACCATCTTTAGTATGGTGTCCTGAGCCCAGCCAACTCAGTAACCGACTGTGTGTGGCAGTGATTGTTACTCTTTTCAAATCACTGACATTCAGAGGGCTGGGCTTAGGTGGACAATTGCCCTTTGGGACTGTCTTCCCTCACTGATGTCACTAAGCACCTGCTTCCTCTCTGGTCTTCCTGTGCTTGGCCCCTGTGTATTCTGACACACCTGGAGACCATGCCTCTTGGACTCTACCCCTCAGAGTCCCTGAAACCATGTGTTAGCCTCTTTGCAGCGACACTGTGCAGTATTTTTCACTTCAGGAGGCATCCTCCAACCTTCCAAAAGCCATCTGAGATAGGAATTATGACACCGCCAGCTCATATCAGGAAGCAAGGCTCACAGATGCACAGGGAAGACTATGCAGAATTTGAACTGAAATCTTCCAGCCCCAAACTCCAAACCTTTCCACGTGGGCTACTGGCTGGGGAGCATGGAGACAGGAGGGCAGGGCTGCAGGAGCTGGTCCACCTGGAAGGAGGAGGGTGAGATCCCGAAGCAATGCCGCCAGCTGTGCTTCTGTATCATGCCTTGACCTTGGACTTCCCAGTATCAAGAGCGGTGAGAAACACATATTATGTCTAAACTGCCAAGTCTGAGATATTTTCCTATAGCAAATGTTTGCTATATTTCCTATAGCAATATTTTCCCCAAAAGACAGCACTTCTCCTGGGTATTTTAAAAGGGTAAGAGGGAGAAACGAGAGACTGGAAGGAACATACAAACTTTGAGGAGCTTTTCCCAACAGTGTAGCTTAGCAATGAAGAAATAAGTCCAATGTGGTTACATGGCTGGAAAAAACTGTTGTCATCAGAGCCATGAATAGACCACAGGGATCCTGGCATTGACTCTTGTGGAAGACGAGGAGGTGGGCCACCCAGATCCCCCTCCAAGGAAGGGCTGGCCAGAGGGTGGCTGTTCATCTTCAGCCCGTTTCAGAGAAAGCCCAGAGACAGACAGTCACCTATCCCAGGCTCACAACGTCCAGCCCAGGTCCAACCCCAACCAAAGGGCGCTGGTTCATGAACGTCCTGCACTACGGAACTCTCAGAGAGGGACTTGCTCTGGTGCAACCACGGCACCTGGCGTCTTCCTCCTCTTCTCTTCTGCCTCTTCATGTGTGTGTTTTCTCATCCTCATCTCTGTGTTGTGGTGACAAATATCACAGGAAAGGGAACACGAGATGGGGTATCTGCTTCCACTTCTGCGGTTCTCCTGGTGGCACACTCAGAAGTCCTCTGCCAGCTCTCCCCAGGATAATGCTTTCATCCAAAATGGCAAACGTATCACCCCCACTATCTTGTGCTGAAATAACTTTATCTTGAAGTTACTCAGGAGAGAGGAGATGAATGCACAATAAATAACAAATAAGAAAATCAATGGGAAATAATAAAGAGCATAGAACTCAACGCAAATGTCACTCACCCTAAACAGATAAGACAAACAGAGATCTGTTTACTCAGAATCTAAACAGAAAATTCGAGTAGTCTCTCAGGGACGATCAAGGTATGCGAATAGACAGGACCTATCTGAAAGCTGGATGAGCTAATAAATTTCGTACTCTTGCAAACAAGTGTTTGATGCTCTGTAAAGCTACGTCTCCACTAGGGAATATATGTATTTATTTATTATTTTTCAACAAGACAGTGTTATACTGATGTAGACTATCTGCTCTCCTGAGTTGTAATTTGTTTCAAGTTACTACGTTCTCTTATTGGACAGCTCTGCTAATCTTGGCAACGTTGTACAAAAAGGGAAGGTGACTTGTGGGTCCAGGGTCCACCCGGTGTCTGGACACTTCTCCCCACACGTTTTTTGGGTTCTCCTCTTTTCTTCCTTCCACACCCTTCCCTCGCCTCTTCCTCCCTCCAACTGCCCTCAGAGCTGAGCAGAGATTTTCATTTGCAAAGAAACAGGAGAGAGAGAGAGAGAGAGAGAGAGACAGACAGACAGACAGACAGACAGACAGACAGACAGACAGACAGAGAGAGAGAGAAACTAGAGCTGCAGGAATGCAGGAGAAAGGTAAGTCACCTATGGCAAATCCCTGCAATAGCCTCTTCTTTCTCCTGAATTAAACTATTGAGTCATTCATTCTCAGATCTTCGAATGAATGATAAAAATATTTCGTGATTGATGACAAAACATAGCTTTTGTGTCTAATCTCAGACCTGCTAAGTCACAATCTTCGGAGGTGAGCTTGGTTTAGCTTTGTTAGTCCAGTTATCTAGTTTTCATATGAGTTTCTGTTTTGTTTTATTGTGTGGAAGATAACTTCAATGCACGCCAAAGTTAGTCTCACATTCCCTGGTGTCTGTTGGGTAAGGTGATTCCTTAGTAATTCAGATTCAACAATTTCAAATACATTGTGGTCTACAGAGGCCAGGGCTGGGGGACCTGGGGAGATGCTGGTCAAAAGATGGACAATTTCAGTTTGACAGAAGGAATAAGTTCAAGAGATCCCTGATACATCATTGTGACTGTAGTTAATAACAATGTATTGTGTGCTTCAAAGGTGCTGAGAGTTGACTTTAGGTTTTCTCATCGCAAACCAAGAAGTATGTGAGGTTAAAAAAAAAATTCCCCAAAAGCAACAAACAAAAACTTGAAATAAATATGACGAATCTCTTTTCTGATAACAACATTTAGGAAGATAAATTATGGGGGAAATATTTTTAGTTTAAGGGCTGAAAAATCAAAAACCACCACAATAAATATACCTAAGGGATACATTAATTTTGTTGTGTCATTTACTTTAGTTTTCCTTTTTTCTCCTACATCAGCTGCCTTCACTATAATCTCTAAGTGGTTAGGTTAAAACTCACTTTCTGTAGGTTGTTTGAAAATGTGACGAAACCATTACTATATTTGAATGGCAGTGGATTCTTATTACTGTTTTTAAAATGGCAATAATGTAAGAAGTGAATACAACTATTGCTACTTGATGCCACTTCTTTCTCTGCCCTCTCTAGCTGGAGCGTCCTGCCCTCCTCTGTAGCCCCTGGGAAAGCTCAGCCTGCTCCCCTGTCCCTCCCTGTAATCCCTCTGCCCCAGCCCCCACAGCCAGACATCTGCCTTCCTCAAGATCCACTGAACTTCCAAGACCTCTCTTAGGAAACCAAGTCGTATCTTCTGCTCTTAATACACCCGTACCGTCCTTCATTAGATAATATGACTCACTGTCTGAAAGAAGCTTTACCTATAAAGGGAGATCAGATAACCCCAAACAAATAAATAAAATGCAAAATTCTTTCAAACAAATGTAACGTACTCAATATGAGGAGATGCCATTGCAAATCCTCACAAATCACAGAGGAAATTGTTTTGTGTATAGAGACCAACTACTTGCAAATTTGAAGAATTCAGAGTTTGGGAGAAATGGGTGAAAAATATAAATCTTGTGTCTTCAACTTTTCATTAACTTGCATGTTTACTGTAATTTTATCAATGCCTCTTCCAGGCAAAAAGTTTTATTTAAGTACTGCACCAAAAGAATATTTACTACTATTGGTAGCAATAATATTGAAATCTTTGTAAATCCTTAGAATTGCAAGGGCTCACTATGCAGATAGATAGATAGATAGATAGATAGATAGATAGATGTCCACATACACACATATGTATATAATCATGTATATATATAAATGTATAAAATATAAGTATATAACATATAAGTTTATACGTATTTAGAAAGTTAATAACATATTACATATTATATATGTATATAATAAGCTCCATATATAACATATAAATGAATCTATTAAGCTCCCAATGTCAGACATACTATTGTTCTCTAATTTAATTTGTCTTACAATTATTTAATCAATAGATTTCTGTTAAATTTGAGAAGTAATCACATTCCATAAGCTACTAATCTTTTATATTTACCTTTTCTTTTTATAGTATCACAGCAAATGGAATTTCCAATTCCATCATATATATTAACTTACATTTGGGAAAACAGTGTATTTAGACTTTTTTGACCAGGCATGGTGGTTCACATCTGTAATCCCAGCACTTTGGGAGGCTGAGACAGGGGATCACATGAAGTTAGGAGTTCAACAGCAGCCTGGCCAACATGGCGAAACCCCATCTCTATCCCAAAAAAAAAAAAAAAAAAAATTAGCCCCAGCCAGGCATGGTGGCGGGCGACTGTAGTCCCAGCTAGTTGGGAGGCTGAGGAACTAGAATTGCTTGAACCCCGGAGGCAGAGTTTGCAGTGAGCCGAAACGGTGCCACTGTACTCCAGCCTGGGCCACACAGTGAGACCCTTTAGTTTCTCAAAAAAACAACAACACAAGAATTTTTTTAATGGCTTATTGGTTATTTGGAGCATTTTTTGTCTAGTTTATGATTGCAAGATAAAAATTAAACTGTTCTTGAATTATCTCAGAGCTTTATCAATTTTTTAAGTGAAACATGTTTTGAACACAACACACCTGGAGAAATCTCAATGGTTTACATTGTTTCGCTTTTACTCTAGGACTCTCTTTTTCTAGGAGCATTTACACTATAATAAATTATTTTCTAATATTAGAATTTAGAATTGCTTTCAAAATGTTTAACTTATTCATTAATAGACACAATTACATAATCCCCTTCCCCTCCAAATTTTAACATTTCTTCATTAGATTTTTTTGTGTTTTACACTGAGGAAGAGTCATCGAAATTCAGATCACCTTATATTTTAAACACACATTTAATTATTTTTTGCAAATTATTCATCAAAGTACCTGTATAGTTAAACACCCTAAGACCCATTAAATTTCTAAGTAAGCGTTGAGCCAATTTCCTATTCTCTGCTAATTATTGTTAACGTGTGATTTGTGCTGATACACTGTAAACATCAGTAGGAGCTATGTCTCTACTGTGGTTGTTTTCCTGAAGGATGGAACCATTTCACAGTCTAAAACCTGAGCCTCCAGGTCTGCCCTAAAGCTCATCACCTTGAAAATGTGGTTCCGTCATTTTTCTCCTCTTCTGCATGATCATTTTTTCTTTTCTGCATGATTAACCCAATTATAAAAATGTGTTGTTCCATTTCCCATCTTTACAAACTAAGACAAAGCAAGCAACCTTTTTTATTTAGTTTTAGCTTTTTGAGACAGAGTCTCACTCTGTCATCCACGCTGGAGTGCAGTGACACAATCTGGACTCACTGCAACCTCCACCTCCCGGGTTCAAGTGATTCTCCTGCCTTGGCCTCCTGAGTAGCCGGGATTACAGGCACCTGCCACCAAACCCACCTATTTTTTGTATTTTTAGTAGAGACACGGTTTCACCATGTTGGCCAAACTGGTCTCAAACTCCCGACCTCATGTGATCCTCCCGCCCTGGCCTCCCAAAGTGCTGGGATTGCAGGCATGAGCCACAGCGCCCGGCCTGCAAACAGCTTTTTAAAAGGCACACGGCCTGCAGACAGACAGGAATCTTTCCCTCCACATTCCTCTGCAGCTGCTGCAGCCCCTACTCCCTGTGGACATGATGGAGGAAACCCCTCAGATGAACGGTTCTCTTTGCATCTCTTCCCATTCTCTCTTAAATCTCATCAGCTGTAATTTCTCTGTTGCTAAATATTTTGGTCGAATGTCCACCCTCCTGTTCACTCTGAAACAATCAGCCACTTCCTCCTGAAAGCACTTTCTGCCCTTTGCTTCCAGAACTCCACCCTGTTTGGGTTCCTTCTAATTCACTGGCCGCTCCTTGTTCACAGGGATGGGTGTTGCCTATGGCACTTTACTATTTATTGCCATACTGTGGCTGGAAAGTGGTCCTGATCCAGACCCCAAGAGAGTGTTCTTGAATCTCATGCAAAACAGAATTCAGTGGGAGTCCACAGACTAAAGTGAAAGCAAGTTTATTGAGAAAATAGAGGAATAAAAGAAGGGCTACTCCATAGACAGAACAGTCTTGAAGGCCGCTGGTTGCCCATTTTTATGGTTATTTCTTGATGATATGCTAAACAAGGGGTGGATTATTCATGCCTCCCTTTTTTAGACCATATAGAGTAACTTTGTGATGCTGCATTCGTAAACTGTAAACTGTCATGGTGCTGATGTGAGTGCAGCAGTGAGGATGGCCAGAGTCACTCTCGTCCCCGTCTTGGTTTCGGGAGATTTGCGCCGGCTTCTTTACTGCAACCTATTTCATCAGGAAGGACTTTATGGCCTGTGTCTTGTGCTAACCTCCTCTCTCATCCTGTGACTAAGAGTTCCTTAACCTCCTGGGAATGCAGCCCAGCAGGCCTCAGCCTTACTTTCTCCAGCCCCTATTCAAGATGGAGTTGCTCTGGTTCAAACGCCTCTTGACAATATGGTTCAACTTTCCATTTAACTCTGTTGGTCACTTATCCGATGGAAGTATGGTAGTCATCTAATAAAACATTATCATCATCGGAATTATCAAGAGTAATAGTTTTAAAAAATATTTTGTACATGGTACTAAAATGCTGGAGTACATCCTATTTAATTCCACCAAAATGTTATAAGATTTATGCTACTCCTACAATCATTTACAAAAAAATAAAAAATTGAGGTACAAAGAACTTAAAAAATAAAGGTCACAAAGCTTGAAATGGTAGAAGCAGGGTTTGCTGTGGTGAAGTCTGATACTAGAACCTGCTGGCTTTACCATATCTCAACAGTCTGCTTCAGAAATTATAGCCCTGACTTTAACCACACCTTACACTTAAAATTTTTATTTTCGTCGATAATTATTACATTTTTTCATTGATAATTATTACATTTCAAAATTATATTAGTAAACGTACCTTTCCATTATGCTACATTTTTTAAATTCAGATTTTGATTAATCAACTCTTTCAACGCTTATCTCAGAAGTATTTTAATGAACTTGTATGTCAGTTGTTTAAATATGATTAAACATCTATTAATATTAGTCCCACTATAATAAAAGATATACACTGAGTCACACAGTATTAATTTTGTTTTTCTTTTCCATGAAATGCTTTTTTTATCATTTATTGTAACTGTGAAATATTCATGAAGATATTGTTGTAGGACGTTCCCCTTAGTTCAGCTAAAAACAGGGTCCTTGTCACATGGCCATGAAAGATTAGGTTCACAGGTTATTGCAGAATATTTGAGAAAATTTTTAAATAATCAAGAAGAAAATGTAACTGTGTAAACCCATCACCACAGACAACCACTGTTAGAACGTTTATGTATTTATTATTAATGCTATGTGCATTGTATATATAAGTTGATAGGTGAAGACACTTAATATTGGTAGAATAAAAATAAAGTTGTTAATATTTATTATTCTGCCTTTATGACCTCTTTGAACAGTTTTCCTAAGGTATTTTTAATAGATTATTCATAATGTATTTAATTCCTTTATCATTAGAAATTAGTTTTTCTCACTTACTACAATTGTACATTACACCAATCACCTATCAAATTCTGCTCAGTTTCCAAGAATAATTTGCTAGAACTAGAATTCTTTAGTCAAGGCTGTTAATCTACTAGGCTAAACTGATTTCTAGAACTATAGGACCAGTTTACTTCACCTGATGTAAATAAGAATATCTTAACTAAAGCCTCTCTGCCCACATTGTTTTAGTACATAAAAGAAAATGTTCAGTAATTTGGTGGTTGAAAAATGCTATCTTATTTTTATTAACATTTAAAATAATGCGCTATTGGATCATTCTTTGGGATAAATCTATTATTGTCTCATGGTCTGTACATTACGAGAAGCGAGTTGTTAGTACAATAACTCTTTCTTTTTTTAAAGTCTGGAAACAGTTGTTGTCTTCACAAGGTTATTTTGACTGCAGCTCCCATTGTCAGCTTACAAATATTCAGGCATTCCTGCATTTTTTTTATTGGATTTTTGATGTCCTTGAATAGGGACTTTTGAGAAAAACTGACAACCAAGTTTTAAGAACTACATTATCAAATTTTATTTCTACCCTTAAATCAGTCAGTGTCCTTTCCTTGGTCAGGAAAATCATCCTCTGAAAGCCTGATGTTATAAGTCATCTTTTGCACCAGGAAAGACAGAGGTACTTACTTACAATGTGAACCATTTGTACTGTTGATATTCCTGATTGGTTATCAGAATCTTTTAATTTAATGTCGCTTAATAGCAGCACTAAATTAAAAGATAAATGTCTCATATATGAAGTTATAGTATTACATGAATCATTGTGTCAAGGTAGTATGGAGGATTAGCGTGAGAATGTCCACAAAACCTTGATGACTGAACTCTTTACTAATGTAAAGGGTAATTAGCATAAGATGCTTTACTGGAAGAAAGGCAATTAACTATTCATCTCACGTTTCCTTACCAAATCAGGGACCCCATTTAAATCACGTATTTCCCTGTGATTTAAGTTTTCAGACATAAGCAGGATTTAACTTGGAAGCAGGTGGAATTTAAAGATTGTTTTACTTAGTCTTGTAGTGATCTATCGGTTTACACCACCGGAGCCAATTTAAACCTTTTCCCTCCAAACAGAGGGAGAATAGAAGGAGCGAGAAGATAAGAAAGCGCAAAGGGGGAGGCAGAACAAGGGGTGAGACAACGCGCTCAGAAACAACATTCTTCCTGCACTCTACGTATTGAGATGTAGAAAACCCTCCTGAGGTGGAAAACAGAGGTGTCTCAGACGATTCGCAAATTCCAAGAAAGATTTTGTGTCCTGTTCTATTAACTCGTTCTTCTTTTCTATACTTCGTTGCATTAAAGTCTTTGCCACTATAATTTCCCAAATTTCCTACTGGGATTATCAAAAGCCTTCCAAGGTGTTCACCTTGCAAGGTGAACAACGTTTTTACAAAAACCCCAGTTTCAGCAAAAAGGCCACTGCCCTAGAGGCCCAGATAGCTGAGCTCCAATCTCACCCCTGAAATGTTCTGAAATCCTGAGCCACAGCCTCGGATTTTTTCATCTGTTAAAAGAAGGGCTTGAATTAACTACCCTAAAAGTCTAGTTTCTCATTCTTTTTCCAGGCACATAATGCAGAATCTCAAGAAAAGTGGGTGGTATTTAACTCAGAACAAAGTTCCCATTTTCCCTGGACCATTCATTACAATGAAGACTTTGGGAAAATTAACTTCAGTGACTTCTTTTGACATGTAAGAGCAATAATACATCTCTTGCAAGAGTGCTGTGATGAACGAAAAAGATGCTCTATGCACAGAGGAAAGTGCACTCTGGGTAGGGCGGTCAGATGAGCTTGGGGAAGTCCAGGGGTGTCATTCACATAGAACACACTGTAGCCCCCATACCAGCCACATATTATGTACAAATATATACTGGCTGCTTTCCATTCCTCCTGTGTGGAAGGCATTTCCAGTTCTACGTGTGTCCAGCTTTTGGATCTTTAACAGGAAAAATCTCCCTCACAGTGGGGATTTTGAAGTTAGTTGTAAGAAAGACTTAATCATTGTTCTGGAACTCATTAGAGATGTCACCTTGCCAGGTTAAAAATGCCTCTAAATCGCAGATTCCTCGTGTGTTTAATAAAGATGATCACCACCTGACCCTCAGAGCTGTGGTGAAGATTACATGACATGGCAAATAGAAGCACCTAGTGCAATGTCTAGCCTGTGTGGTTACACAAAGTGCATGGAAAATACTTCTCAGAAAATGAAGAACTTTCCAAGTCTTTGTTACATTCAACGTGGAATGTTAATGCAACTCTTTATTCAGCTTTTCCCGTTAAACTTCACCGCACACAGGAAGCTGGGGATGAACCTCTCCACTCCCCAAGTAAGACGTCCATGGAGTTGGAAACATGCCACGTCATCTTCACTTCCAATGGAGAAATTGGCACATCTTACCATTTAATCAATCAATAGAGCTTACAGAAGAAAAAAGAAAGGGGAGAGAGAGGAGAAGCTACTGGAAAGTGACTTTGGCAACTCCTGATACTGCTTCTGCCTTTTCTATCTATGGGAATAATAAAAGCTGTCCAGGCACAACAACCTCACTGTAAACTATTTCCTTTAAGCACTTCAACAGAATACATGTGTCCTTTCAGATCTGTGAACAACACATTCAACAATAACCACTTCCTTTCTGCTGCCATAGACCTTTTGTTGTCTCAACACTGGGGGCTAACCTTCTTAAACAGGGGTGACACTTCACAGTAGGAGAAACCTCACAGCATTGGTGGTCAAAGTCTTTATTCTTACACACACACACACACACACACACACACACACACACCAGCACATTTCTCCTTCATGACCCATGGGAAGCTTAAATGATACCTAGTTCCAGGCATGTACTCTAAGCCCTGGGAGATTCATTTTACAGAGCAAAGCTGTAACACCTTCAGATGCTGACACGATCCAAAACAGCTTCAGGAGATGTGAACATCTAACGTTTGAGACTTTTTTTTTCGAGAGTCTCGCTCTGTTGCCCAGGTTGAAGTGCAATGGCGTGATCTCGGCTCACTGCATGCAACCTCCGCTTCCCGGGTTCAAGTGTTTCTCCTGCCTCAGCCTCCCAACTAGCTGGGATTACAGGCACCCACCACTACACCCGGCTAATTTATTTTTTTTGTATTTTTAGTACAGACGGGGTTTCACCATGTTAGTCACGCTGGTCTCAAACTCCCGACCTTGGGTGATCTGCCCGCCTCGGCCTCCCAAAGTGCTGGGATTACAGGTGTGAGCCACCATGCCCGGCCAGTTGCGACTTTTGCATAATGGGAAGATCAGGTGGTCCTGAAACACCATTTTTTTTTCTCCAGCCTCTGCGTGATTTTCAAAGGAATGCAATTTTATTTGTGAAACTCCTAAATCCAATCATTTTTTTTCCTTTTATAAGCAGCAATGCCCCTCAAGGATCTGAGATGAGTGGCCACATATTCGGGTGTGTAAGTGAGTGTGTGTGGCTGTGGATTTTTACTAGTGACGGCAGATGAAAGTGAATCATCAACGTCTCTAGCCCAGGTTTTTAGGATCAGTCCCATGTTTCTGATTCCTCAGAAAACATCAAACAGTTAGCTGGCACATATGGGACTGAGTCCATTAGTTTAACATCGGTCACTAAGATAGCAAGGTAACTTACAGCATTCTAGAGCATGGCACAAAGAGAAACATATTCTTAGGATTTTTAAATTATTAAATTCCAGTGGTATTTCAGGTTCAAACTTATTTTCTCCTTTCTCAGTCCTACCTTAATTATTCTTATTTTGCAAATACCTTTATTTTGCTGTTTTCCTCCTCATGGTTTTGGAAGAGCTTCTTTAATTTCATTAAATAACATGTTAAATGAAAGTTAATGGGGTGAAAAATAAAGGAACAGAATTCTAAATTCTTTACATGAGGATAATAGAATTTCTCTCTGAATGGTCAATCTTCATCATAAGCCATTTTTTGAGAAATTAATTACAGGGAGTTTTCTGAGAGGCGCTGTATGAAGAAAATAGCAGAGAATGAAGTGCCCGTTAAGTAGCTGACTGTCCACAATGGGAAGTACTGATGCATCTACATGCCACAGGTGCACCCAAGGCCGTCCTCATCCCTCACCTCCTGCTGTCCCCAAGCCCCCCACAAGCCAGTACACATGGGTGGAGTTGGCACAGGTTGTACAAGTAGAGATGTGTCAGAAGCATAAGGAAGAGGCCGGGCAAAGTGGCTCATGCCTGTAATCTCAGCACTTTGGGAGGCCGAGGCAGGTGGATCACTTGAGGTCAGGAATTTGAGACTAAGAATGCAAAAATTAGCTGGGCATGGTGGCTGGCACCTGCAGGCCCACCTACTCGGGAGGCTGAGGCAGGAGAATTGCTTGACCAGGGAGGCAGAGATTGCAGTGAGTCGAGATCACACCACTGCACTCCAGCCTGGGCGACAGAGTGAGACTCCATCTCAAATAAATAAATAAATAGATATAATAGCTTGAGCTTTCATAAAATCTAAGACGAAGTTGAGGGTCACTTTAGGAATTTGAAAGCACAGTAGCTAAGAAATCAACATATAATTAAACTCCTAATCTTAAATAAATATTAAAAAGTGCTTGCCCCAACCTCAGACAGATCTGAAACCATTCTCTCCTGAAAAGCAGGGTCTGTCTTACCTTTGAGTTTTTCTCTGATCTATAACCCTTCTTACCTCTTGTCAATGTCTCCAAAATACTGCCATTAATAACTCACCTTAAAAGGACCCTGGTGGGAAAAGTCCCCATTAGTAAAACTGTTTGGTCCAGGCATGAAATGTGTATATTCCGCACAGAGTTCGGTAAATTGCCCTAGGATCAATTTTTCTGGATTCTAGATTACAAGCGAAAACTCTTGTCGTTAGGTTTTCTAATATTAGCATTAATGCTAGTCGTTAGCAGAATGCACCTGCACTTCTGCTGTGTAACAAGGAACGATGCTGGTCTTGAGGAAAAATATGTTTGAGATTCCCCGATTTCAGGGATGAACTAGCTGCTTTTTCATGGAACACCATTTTTACTTGAGAGACTAGCAAACTATTGTGTGTGTGCCAGTTTTTCTTGCCACATAAATTACTACCAACTTAAGAGCTTAAAGCAGCATTTTATCATTTCCCAATTCTGCAGGTGAAGCTCAGCTGGGCCCTCTGAGCTGGGTCTAACACTCAAGGAACTAGCGCAGCTGCTTTCTTCTCTTAGAGTCCTAAGGAAGAATCCTTTTTGACATTCAGTCAGGTTATTGGTGAAGTCCAATTCGGTGGTTCTAGGACTGAGGTTCCCATCTTCTTGCTGGCTAATGAAGGGGCCACTCGGGGCACTCAGGGAAGCTTGTGGCCATGGACCCTTCCCTGCCTTGTGACCCATCCATCAACAATGCAACGGGGACTGTCCCAATTCGAATCCTCCTCACACTCAAAACCTCTTCTCAGGAAAAAGTCCCTTTTAAGGGCTCATTTGATTAGGTCAGGGCCGCTGAGCACCATCTCCCTTTCTTAAAGTCAATTGAGCCATAAGCTAATCATAGGACAGAGAACACATCATATTCACTCAAGGAGGGTGCATTATCCAAGAGCATAGATCATGGGAAACTACCTTAGGATCCTGTGTATTCTCTTCAGATATTCCGAAAATCATAGTTGGGCATTTAGTCATATTTACTTAAAAATGAACAGTCAGCTATTGTTACCTAAACAATTATTAGATAGTCTTTTTGCCAATGATGAAATTCGGGTTTTCAAGAAAATATTAGAATTTTAGACAAGTAGTGTCTGTCTTTGTAACTTCCCAAAACTTAAAGACTTTTTTTGGTAAGAGCAGGGTGATATTAACACGTGTGCTTTTTTACTTATTGCACAATATCTAACTTATTTTTAGATACAGACACTAACATTTGAAAGAGATGCATAAAGTGAACCCATGATTTCAAAATGACCGCAACTTACTGCTACCAAATCACGGATGAGTAAAAATTTCATTCAAAATGCAAAATAGACCAACACGTTTTACTATAATAAAGTGCAAAAAGTTGACTTATATGGATGCAGATTCCATTTTGTAGCTAACTTTTAAGAAATAGCCATTTGTTAAGTTTAATGTTGTGTGAAAGAAAAATGTCCACTATTATCTAAGAGGGATATTAAAATACGCCTCTCTTTTTCAACTTTCTATCTGTGTAAACACAGATTTTGTTCATTGACTTCAACCAGAATAACAGAGCACAGCACATTAAATACGAAAGCAGATATGAGAAACCAGCCTCTTTCACCATGCCAGACGTTAAAAAGTTTTGCAAAAATAGAAAACAATGCTACCTCTTTTACTACTTTTTTTTTTTTATTATTATACTTTAAGTTTTAGGGTACATGTGCACATTGTGCAGGTTAGTTACATATGTATACATGTGCCATGCTGGTGTGCCGCACCCACTAACTCGTCATCTAGCATTAGGTATATCTCCCAATGCTATCCCGGGTTTTTGTTTGGTCAAATATACTTATTTTCATAAATATATATGTTAATTTCTAAAGGAGTATTGTCACTTTTAAATGAAGTGATAAACATTTAAAATTTTCTCTCAATGTAATTCTGAATATATTAAGTATTGGTAGCTATATAACCTTTAAAAAATGAAGCTGTTTGGGATTTTCAACCATTTTCAAAAGGGTCCTAAGGCTGAATGATCTGAGCACCCTTCCTCTGGGCTGGGAGAGGAATTAGGGAGGGGGAATGAGAATTGGCCTCTGGGTCACTCCCAGTATGCAGGAAGGACATTTACCCTGGGCTCAACCATGAGAATTCAGGGAGTCCATGAAATTAAATAGGAAAAGAAATGCATTTTTATTTACACTGCCTTCTAAGTGAAAATTAGTATTTTCTTCTGTTATGAGTGTAAGCAAAAAGCCATAAGAATACCAGCAGTACTTTGCCATCAGCAGAAACTGTAGGTATTTTCTTATCACATTAACGGTGATGGCAGATATCAGAAGCTTTACTTTAAAATTCAGACTATTGTCGCTATTAGATCTGCCATGGTAAAGAAGCACATGCCCCACTATGTACAAATTCTTTTTAAAATATGTTGATGACTATTTCAACGCAACTAGCTTTGTTTGGTATCCTAATATTTTATACAGCTATAAACGTTATTCTGGGAAGAGGCCCATTAACCTCTCCAGACGACTAGAGGAGTGAGGCAGGAGGTTAAGGGCCCTCAGCATAGCGGTTTGGAAGGTGAGTTTTCAGCAAAGGAGGTAGACACAGCAGATAGATAGGAAAGGGACTAAAGGAGGGAGCTGTGCCCTGAAGGCAAGGAGGTAGGTTCAAGGAAATGAAAGTGAAAAGAGATTAGTGTTGCTAGGAAGGCCCTCAAGGTGTGGGTTGAGAGGTAACCAATGAGTTTGGCAGGTCCAGGGCCATGAAGACCTGGACAAGTGCTATTTCAGTCATAGGGCAGGACAAACATATCCCTGCATGGACAGGGAAACAATGACAAAGAACCTGGATGACCAGGATAGACATCACTTGAACATTTTTATTTTTTAAAAGGAAGCAGAGATTTGGGACCAAAGCTGAAGGCGACTGTGGGGCCAAAGGAGAAATACCGGTGCTGATTTTGTGGGTGATATGAATGTGTATGTGTGTGTGTATGTGTATGTGGGTTTGTGTCCCTCCCATGAGCTGCTTGTATTAAGTAGAAACAGTTGAGGAGAGAGGAAGCCTGATGGCTTAGGAGAGAGAAGGTTTCAGGGAAGGAGTGATGTCCAAGCAACAGGATGGAGTGAGCAGTGGAGGACCCGGTCTCAGATGTGGCAGGGGCAGCCACCACTGCAATGAGAGAGTAGGCAGAGGGCCACATACCAACTGCTGTGTTGTTAGTGAGGGCAGAGTGGAAGGACTTGGGAACACGTGAAAACCATTGATCTAGGAATCTTTCAAGGACTGTGACTCAGTATCTCAACCCATGTATTCCACTTGCAGTGGATAAAAATACATCTACCATTATTAAACATGCCCTTGAAAAGATGGAGCCTACTCCTTCTTTCTTTGATAGTGGCCTGGACCTAATGACTCGCAAGCAATGAACAGAAAAAACAGTGGAAGTAATTGTGTGTGACTACGGAGACCGGGTCACTGCAAGTTCCTGCTGGCTCTTTCTCTCTTGAAGAATTATGCAGCTCTCAGGAAATCAACAGCCATGCCATGAGGGTACTCAAGCAGCCACCGGGAATGCCACCTAGTAAGGGACCTGAGGTCCCTGCCAACAGCCATGCAGGCACCGAGGCGTCCTGCCAATCTCCACACGAATCAGCTCTTGGAACTCAGCCTCCGTTGCCTGCAGCCCCAGCCAGCATTGACTGTAAACCCATGAGAGGCTGGGAAAGAACAGCCCAGCTAGGCTGCACATCGTCTCCCTTAAAAAATACGTGAGCTCAGACACCTTTCTTCATTAGGCCAATAATAATTCCGGTAATTTATTTGTAGCAATAGAACTAATCCACCACCATCTTTCAGGCTATAATATAAGTCTCTATAATTAGAAAGGATGGAATGAGATTGGTGACAAGGACAGGGGTCAGCAGGTATTGAATGTGTAGAGCCAGATGGGATGCTTTAAACCAGAGATGAGAGGCCAACTCTGAACACCTTTATTCTCTTGCATAGTTTGGGTCCAGTGTTTTTGAATCTTCATGTTTTCAGGAGAAGCAGGAAATCTGGATATTCATGTGAAGTTCCCTGTGTTACGAGGGTAGGTACATCAATCCTTTTTTATGTTCCATCATACAGGTGACATCAGTCTGTAGTTCTGGTTTGTGAGTGGTACGAGGTGTATATTTACCTATGGGCCCTTGAATACCAGAGGGAACTTGCCAGTCCAGTTCTCATTCCTGAGCCTTATTCTTAGCATGCCCTCTGATGGAAATGAGTTGTGCAAATATCTAATGTTTTAATAATCAGTTTGAGTCACTGTAAAGCAATGTCTCCCTGCCCAAAGATAGATTTCCTGTCCCGTTAAAAAACATGAGGAAATATCTGTTTAGCATCATACACAGATAACCTAACAATTAATGACTAAACTCTGAAGAATTACATTTATGAATATACATACCACCAGTAAACACTGTGAACACAAACCCTCAATATTTGCATTTATTTTCTCTTAGTTACTAATGGTAGCTATCCTTTTTTCTCTCTATATAAAGATAATGGCATTTAATGTTACCCAACTTACTACTATCCCATAATACCAATTATTTATGATATTAAACATGGTTAAAAAGTGTTTCATTTTAAAACCATACTTAGAGCAATGTGAATGTTTAATTTTAAATTGTGTTTATTTTCAAAGTTGCGTTTGACAATTATCACAAGAGGAAAACTAACCTCTGGAAAGTAATTCTACATACACATACCTTTGAGGCAGTCAGCTCATCTGCAGAGCCTCCCGCCTGAACGGTGGCACTGCAGTTCCCATAAATATACCTACAGAGGGTGCCAGAGAGCTGGCAGCCCCGCCCAGGTACCAAGTGGATACCTCAGCTCAGATGGGCTTTTCCTGTCTAATATTCTAACATGAGGGTGACCAATGTGTGCATTAAAAATGAATAAAGAGTAAGAAGCTAGAGCTCTCATGCACTGCTGGTGTGAATGTAAAATGAGGCAGCTGTCGTGAAAAAACAGTATGGAAGTTCCTCGAAAAAATACTAATAAAAATGAGCATATGATACTGCAATTCGACTTTTGCGTACACACCTGAAATAATGGAAAGCTGGGATTCAAGTAGATGTTTTTACACTCAAGTTTAAAACAGCATTATTTACAATAACCAAGGAGGGGCAGAAAGACTGTCCATAAACACATGAATGGATAAAGATAATGTGATCTGACCATATAATCGGTTATAATTTAGTCTTAAAAAGGAAGGAAACGCAGGTACATGCCACAGATGGGTGAGCTTTAGGGCAGTGCGCCAGGTGAAATATGCCTGTCACAAAAGGACAAATACTGTATGATTTCATCGATAATTAGATACTTAGAGTAGTCAAATTCAAAGAGCGGCAGGGAGGAGGGGGTATGGGTAATGAGAGTTTAATGGGTGCAGACTTTCAGTTTTGGAAATGCATGGTGGTGGAGGCTACACAACAGTGTGACTGTATTCAATGCCCCTGAATTGTACATTTGAAAGGGTTTGGCTATGACAGTGTCCGCACCCAAATCTCATCTTGAATTGTAGCTCCCATAATTCCCACGTGCGATGGGAGGGACCCAGTGGGAGATAAATGAATCATGGGTGCTGTTGCCCCCATACTGTTCTCATGGTAGTGAATAAGTCTCATGTGATCTGATGGTTTTACAAAGGGAAACCCCTTTCTCTTGGTTCTTATTCTCTCTTTGCCGCCACCATGTAAGACATCCCTTTGCTCTTCCTTCATCTTCCACCATGACTGTGAGGCCTCCCAGCCACGTGGAACTGGGAGTCCATTAAACCTCGTTCCTTTATCAATTACCCAGTATTGGGTATGTCTTTATCAGCAGCATGAAAACAGACTAATACAACATCTAAACGTTGTGAAGATGGTAAATTCTGTGTTAGGTTTATCGTAACAGAGTAGCAAATAATAAGTAAAATAATAAAACTTAGCACTTTTCTTTCAAAATAAATATAAACGTAGGTTTGCCTATGTTCCAAGAGCCTTTCAGTGGTGTGACTGACTTGCACATTAACCAAAGAAAAAGGGCATCTGTGGTAGAGACCACCATCCTGGAGCAGTCGTGTGGGGAGCACAGATGGAACAGAAGGAGAAAGTAGAAAGAG
This sequence comes from Homo sapiens, assembly GCF_000001405.40. Taxonomy (NCBI): domain Eukaryota; kingdom Metazoa; phylum Chordata; class Mammalia; order Primates; family Hominidae; genus Homo; species Homo sapiens. The sequence continues at coordinate 3,728,686 of NC_000008.11, forward strand.
TGCTCTTGTAATCTTGCAAATGATGCAAGTTAAAATGGTGGGCATGGTCTGTCTTAAGTTATGGAGCTGAACTATTAATACATCTCAAATGTCAAATATGAGGTTTATTCAGCACATTGACTGATAATGCCCCCTTAATATTTCTAACATTAGTTCTTTTACTGAAGCAGATTCATGGACTAAGGCAGGGATACTGGCATCCACGTGGTTTTCAATCTATCACCGACTGCATTTTAAATCAATAATCCCAAAATAATGCAAATGAGTGCCGTTCGAATATCTGCAGGGCTGAGGTGGTAGAGTGTGATGCTACTGTCCTCTGTGGGGAGCCCCGCCAAACCGACCAGCAAAACTTCTAATCCAAAGTCTGGCCGTAATTCTCCACGTGATCTGAACATGTCAGCCAGGGAAGTAAAGGTTTCGAGCTAAAGTAGACAACTTTCAGAAAACTCACTTGTGGAACATTTAACTAACTCGTTCATGACAAGACTTACTGCCACGCAATAAGCAATGCCGTCTTAAAAAGACCTCAGGTCAGGCACACTCTTCCCTGCCTTTTTAATGACTGACGGCTTGCTACAGGAAGTGTTCACCTCCTGGCACAGGGCTCGTGCAGGGCAGATGCTGTCTGAGGGTGGGCTTCGGAGTGAGACTTTGCCAGTCTAGCTCTGCCACCACTCACTCGCCTTGGGCTCAGTTGTGCTCAGTCAGTTCTTAGGCACAACTCTCTGCATGTTAAAAGAGGGATATAATATCCGCCAGTAGATGAAATACATTTCAAGTGCTTGAACATAGAGGCAATATGTATCCCCAGCAAGACAGACTGTGGAACCTGCCCAAGAGGAATCGAAGTGGGCCTTGACAATGTCCAGAAGGTATCGGGTCAGTAAGACTTCATGACAACCTGCTGGAAGCCATTAGCAGATCTTAGTGTGGAAAGACGGTGAACTCAACTTAGAGGAAGCGATGGGGGCTACCAGCGAAGTGTTTAAAGATGAAACTCGCCTCTTCTTCTGCTAAGTCCCTATCACTTCCACCAAAGCTCAGAGGATTTTAAAAGCTCTCACCACAAAGACATAATTATTTCAGGTGATAGATATCCTGATGACCATGATTTCTTCATTCTACAGCATATTTATAAACAAGGCACCTTGCATATTCCATGTATTGAAGCACGTATCAAAACATCACACTGTACTCCCCAAATCTACAGAATTATTATTTGCCAATTCAAAGTAAAAAAAAAAAAAAAAAAAAAAAAAAAAAAAAAAAAAAACAAAAACAGAAGAACGGATACATAATAATGTTTCAAAAAGTTCAGAGGAGAAAAATCTTTGGTCGAAGCGCTGCAAGTGTTTCCACAGGTCCTCTACCTTAAGGCTGTGATTCTGCTCTCACCCCAAAAGAACTTTCCCGTTTGCAAAAGTAAACTACTTACAAGGAGACAATGTGATCATCCTGAAGGCTTCAAGTCCTTCCATTCCCCCAAAATCATGTCTCCAACAGGTAGGCAGAGAATGAGGCTTCCAGTTTGATTCCCCATATGGTTAAATTCGAGATGAGAAAATACCTTGAGCACATGGAGCCCCTTGGATGCATCATCCCTGACTCAGCCATTCCTTCATGTAGATAAATGAACACACTGATGCATTCTCCTCATGCTCCCAAAAAAATTTAAGGAGCGATTTTTTTTTTTTTTTTGCCCTGTGTCTGATCACCACTGAGCTGGGATAGAGCAAACCTCTAGGTTAGCAGAGCAAAGACTGCTGTCTAAGAAGGCTCTCAAGAGATCCATTATCCCTTAATTGACTGATGCTGATTTGGCCCCAGGTTAGTGGTAGGGATCACAGCGAGGAGAGGAAAGTGCTACCGCCAATGAACAGCTTTGCACACACTATATGGTTTCAGTGCCTACATGTGCACCTCTCACTTATGTCATCCTCTAAAAAGCTTACATTTCTTCTGACAGATTGACCTTCACCAGCATTTACTAACCTCACCAAAAGGCACCTTGTTTATTCCATTAAACAGACCTAGAAACTTATTCACAGTTCTATGCAGATAGGACCAGAGTTATGTGTCACTCAGAGGTGATACCCTTAACCTAATATTTTGACATGTTCAAAAACAACCCCATTCATGTTATGCCAGATATTAGGAAATTATGCTAGAGGTGATAAGAGAGAGTGCTTTTAGCCACTATAATACGTAGACCAATTTGCTGCTTCAAAGTGCCATTTCTTGCCAAAGGTTGCTTTTGTAAAAATTATTTTAGTGGGGAAAATTTATTTCAAACATACACAAAATTACAGATAAAAGTGAATTGAACCTACAGATACCCATCACTCAGCTGTAATAATTATCACAGCTATTTTTCCTACGTCCTTATACACTTTCTTCCCAATCAAGTTTATTGTCGAGCACACCCCAGAACATAAATCTATATATCCATAAATATTTCAGTATGTCTGTTAACACTTCCATCATTCCAAAGTAAAACCTCTTACCCATTAAGCAGTTTCTCCACCTTCCCACTGTCCTCCTTCCCCCAGCAAACAATGACGTGCATTCTACATTGACCAGCATTTATGGAGATACAGATGCATCTCCACAAACAGAGTCTCTCTGAATGCCTCTCTTGAAAGAAAGAGATGGAGGAATATTTCATTTTAGTGGAAGTTCAGGCTAATACAGGGAGAAATGTTGCTTGTCTTGGTAAGAGTGTGGGATTCTTTACCTGGCATGGTCATGATAATGACTACCAGTTTTAACCCCTTCAATTCAATCCGAAACTTGCCCAGCCACTGTTGGACAATTCATGGATAAGTGCTTGACCCAGTGCAGCCAGTATGGCTGGGGTGATTTGATTCCACCCGTGAAGAATCTAAAATAGGTTTTTGAAAGTGATATGAACTTTACCAACCAAGGCTAAAATGGAAAGGATGCACTGAAAGAAGATAGGAATTATGCTCGGTACTGGGAGGTCAGCAACAATTGAGGAAACAAAGTATAAATGGGTCAGAGGCTTAGAGCACAGAATTTACAGGTAGAGAGACTAAGATGATGAGCAATACCAATATTAATGGTAACAGCATTAAGTGCTTATGTTTTGGACATGTGATGTTTCATTTACTCCTCACCACCCATGAGTGAGTTTCCATCATTATCACTGCTTTATAAATGAGGAAACTAAAGCTTAGAGCAGTTGAATAATGTGACCTTAGTGGTTTTGGACCTGAGGTTTGAAACCATACAATGGACTCCAAACCCTGGGCTCTCACTGAACTCAGCAGATATTTAAAGAACAGCAGCAACATTGTAAGAAGAGCAGAATGCATGCTCTCCACATTTTTTAGACAAAAAAAATGCTCCATTCCTATGACCAAAGAGCCTAATAAAATGGATGCCACCAGGGAAAGGAGGGCCTTGGAGGAGAGGGCTCCTAGCGGAAGCCACGGGCAAGCCCTGAGTTCAGGTCACTCGTGGTGGTTGCCTTGGGAACAGAGTCTTTCCGAGAGGACTCTATCAATTTAGCAGTTTCGCCCGAGGCCACCCTGCAGGGCAATTACTCGATACAAAGCTGCCCTCTTTAGAAAGGCTTAAAATCTTTCCGCTAAAAATAATTTTGATCAAGTCATTTAACCTGTGTGGATCACAGCCTCACCATAGTAAACCAATGAAATTTTATTGTCAAGGACTTTTTCTAGCTGTACCCTTCAATGAAATTAATAATGAACCAAGTCATACTGGAAGGACTCATTCCTTAGGAATAGTAATTTAACTACAAAAAACAAAAAGAACCATAAGCTCAATAGCTATAAGAGGAAAATATTTGCTGAGACTCTGTATAATTTCTTAGTACATTCTACTAAACACCCTGACTTTATGCCCAGGCAACGCACCATGAAAGCTGCATTTCAGCAACCCTTGCCTTTAAGACCTTTTTGGTTTGTTTGCTTGTTTGAACAGAGTTCAATCCTAAATTGATTTTTTTTAAGACAGAAAAAAAGAAAAGTAAAAAATGCCCCAGATGAACTGAACCTTCAAGAGTAACACCTGATAAACTCAATGCTTAATTACTAAGCTGAAACGTCCATCCCACTGAGTGATTCCGTTTCACCTGGCCTCATCTCAGGTATTTATCGAGTGATTCAAGACTATTTTGAAATCTGTTTTAAAAGAGATCTATCTATCTATCCATCCATCTATCATCTATCTATCTATCATCTATCATACAACTATTTATCTATCCATTATCTATCTATCTACTTACCTACCTACCTATCTACCAACCTACCTACCTACCTACCTAAAGATACGTGTGCCCTGATCAAGGGAAATCTGACTTGGGAATATGTCAGCCGAAGTAAATGCTGCTGATTGGTTTTATAAAAGTGACACAAACTTTACCAACAGAGGCTAAAGTGGAAAAGATAAAGTGAAAGAAGTTAGGAATTAGACTCAGTACCAGGAGGCCATAAATACACACACACACACACACACACACACACACACACACACTCTCTCTCTCTCATACATACACATACATATATTACACATATTAATATATATACACATACACATATTTATATATGCATAAATATACATATGAATATATATACACATACATATATGTACAAATATATATACACAGACATATATATTATATATATAATATATATATAAAATATAATATATATTATCTGGATTAGATGATAGAAACCTGTAAGAATGTACTTTTGATTTGGTGTATGTATGCACTAATCTTCACTTATTCAATGTTTTGCTTTCAACGGTTTCAGTTACCCACGGTCAACCGCGTTCTGAAAATATTCAACGAAAAATTTCAGAAAAAAACAACTCTTAAGTTGTAAGTTGCGGGCCATTCTTCGAGTGTGATGAAACCCTGCACCGCCCTGCTGCATCCTGCCTCGGTCCCGAATCATTCCTCTGTCCAGAAGGTCCCTGCTGTTTGCACCGCCTGCCTGGAGTTGGGAGTCACTCAGTGCCCATCTCAGGGACTGGATGGACGCCCATGGGGTTGTGGTGTCTGTGTTCAAGTAACCCTTATTTTACTTGTACTTAATGATGGCAAGCGGGTGGATACTTGCATACTGTTAGAACTGTTTTTACTTTATTATTAGTTATTGTTTATCTCATATGTGCCCCGTTTATAAATTAAACTTTATCATGGGTACAAAGTACGAGAAAAGCATAGTTTATGTAGGGTTTGGTGTTAGCCACAGTTTCGGCCATCCACTGGGGTCCTGAAACTTATCCTTCAAGGATAAGGGGGGGATGTCTGTACGTGTGCAAGGGTGTGAGTGTGTATATGGCAGTGAATAAACTCAGGAAGAAATGCAAGCTGTTTAAAAATACAAAGAATTTTTAAGTGAACTTCTTATCCTTGAGTTCCAATGTGCTAAATTAATACTTAATAAAGATATTTAATTATTTAAGGATACTACCATTACCAATATACTACTTAAAACATTGAGCTGATGCATGGAATTGGAAGCCTGCATTTCACGATGAGAATGGGAGCCTTCGGCTTCCTACTCAGCACCATTCCATGTTTCATCTCCCAGTGTCTCCCTAGTGCTTCCAGGCGGGGTCTGCTGCATCTTATTTATTACTGATAGCCAAGAGACTGATGAGGGCTGTTCGACAGCATCGTAGAAAAATGGATTTGCTTCTGCCTGGAAGCATTGGGAACACTGCTCAATTTAAAATACAGAAACTCTGCCAGGTGCGATGGCTCACGCCTGTAATCCCAGCACTTTGAGAGGCTGAGGTGGGTGGATCCCTTGACGTCAGGAGTTCAAGACCAACCTAACCAACTTGGTGAAACCCTGTCTCTACTAAAAATACCCAAAATAGCTAGGCCTGGTGGCGGGCACCTATAATCCCAACTACTCGGGAGTCTGAGGCAGGAGAATTGCTTGAACCTGGGAGGCGGAGGTCGCAGTGAGCCAAAACTACGCCACTGCACTCCAGCATGGGTGACAGAGTGAGATTTTGTCTCAAAAAAATAAGTAAAATGAAATACAGAAACTCTCCTAATGTGGCTGCTTCTTCTGTAATCAGATCTCTCTGCTCTCTGCAACTGGGTGCTGAGGCCCCGTGACGGGGATACCTTCCTTCTGGTTGCTCCCATGAAACTTCATCTAATGCCGCTGATGCTACAATAGGGCTGTACTGAAGCAATTTTCCGTTTCCAGTTAGAGACATAACTCTTCTTTTACTTCATCCAAACCCTCCAGAGTAGCCTCTGTTCTTGTTTTGAGAGCAATAGCTCCCCTGTGGTGTGCAAAGAGAGGAGTGAGGAGGGAATGCTGTTTTTGTAAAACAAAATAGGTGATATGAATGTGGACATGGGAGGACACACGCCAGCCACCACAACGATGTGAAACAGGTACATTTGCAAAATAACTCTTTTCAATCACCAGCATTTCCTTCAGCTGATACATTCCCAAGTCATATTTCCCTTGATCAGGCACACGGTAACGGGCAAGTTGCCCCTGGCTCCTTAATGGCTTTCTGTCTGATTTGGATATTTAGTGATATTACTCAACACAGATCCAAAACTTGGCTTATACATCATATATGGCAAGATAAAAAACAAACAAAACACACAAACACACACACACACAACCAGATTCTGCAAATATTGACTCAAGACTTTTAATCCTGGAAGTTGAGCAACTGTATAATTTACAAAATCCTTAGATGATTCCAGAATGCATCTACAAAATGCAGGTATTAGGCAAAATGTTTTAGAAGTCTCTGTGTCAATATATTCATGTTTCCCTGTGTATTAGCTACTGATTCTGTCCAGTTACACAGTAAAAAGCAAATTCTGCCTTTAGAAAATATGAGTCAGCATGACTTGCTTCAGTGTCTGACTTCACTACTCATTTAACTCTCTCCACAGGTAAGTCTGAATCTCTTGGTGCCCTGGTTCACTCGGCTGAGAAATGGGCTGCCCTCTGGAGAGGCTTGCTATCAGGATTAAATTCATGGACAACAGAAACTCGTTTGGAGCAAGGCCTACCACACCTCTAGCCTTTACAATGTTGCTGCAGATACCACACATGCTCCTTGCTAATCTGGCCAATTACACTTTCTATCAGTATTCATTTTGAAAATATGCATTGATTTCCTAATTTATGCCTAGAATTTTTCTAAATATATGACATAGAGTTATAAATAAAACAGACAAAAATTACAGCCTCCTAAAGCTTTCTTGCTAGGGAAAGAAAATAAACAGTAGACAGGTAAATGGGTAAAATACATGGTTTTCAGTGGGAATAAGTGCGGTGGATTAAAAAAAATAGAGGGAATAGAAATACAAAGAACTACCTAAAGCAGGTGTGAAGGAGATTAATAATATAAATTCTACGTTTCCAACACTGTTGTATGCAGTTTACATACATTAAATCTTTTCAGTACTCATAAAACCCTGTAATCGCATCACATCTGCGTCTAATCATATTCTATGTGTATTAACACAATTTGATTCTCACTCAACATTTGTGTGTGTGTGTATTTTTTTGTTTTGTTTTGTTTTGTTTTTGACAGGGTCTCACTGTGTCACCCAGGCTAGAGTGCAGTGGGGCAATCACGACTCACTGCAGCCTCCACCTCCTGGGCTCAGGTGATTCTCCTACCTCAGCCTTCCAAGAAGCTGAGACACAGGTGCAAATCACCACCATGCATGGCTAATGTAAAAAAAAAAATGTAGCAATGTGGTCTCACTACGTGGTCCAGGCTTGTCTCGAAATCTTGGGCTGAAGTGATCCTCCCTCCTCAGCTTCCCAAATTGCTGGGATCACTGGTGTGGACCACATGAGTAGAATATCATTTCCAGTGTGTCTACCACCTGCCTCACCATGGCTCCCAGGCCCTGGCTCCTGCAACACCAGGCAATGGCAGAGTGAATCTTTCTCATGCCCCAGGTCTTCCATCACCTGCGACCTGGCCTGACTCAGCTTCCGCAGAATGGAGCTGGGGATAAGGACACACCTGCTTCACACTGCCTGGCTTCAAATTCACCTTTACCAATCATTAGGTGTGTCGTTTTGCCTCAGATCCTCATCTGCAAAGTGGGAGTGGCATAAATAGGCCCTGTTTTGTGAGGCTGCTGGGATGTTACGTATGTCTACATATGAATGGGTGAAAGCCATGCCTGGCATGTAGAAGGTGCTGTGTGCATCCTACTAGAACATTCCGTGTGAAGCATTCTGGGTAAGGTTTCTCCCTGAGCCCTCTCCCCTACCTCCTGTCATTTCCTCCCAGGATCTGATACACAGGTGACATTCAGCACACGACTGTGGTTACATGATTACGTCCAATTATAAAGTGCTTTAAGCGGATTTGAAAGTCAGTGTTCATTTATATTATAGTCATGTAACTACAATAGTCCCATATTATATTTTAATCTTAAATTAGATGGGAACAGAGACAATTAGTTTAATAAAAATTGCATTTCCTACCCTAATCACAAACAATGACTATCGGGAGAAATTATCATTGATTTTTTGCTTTCTAGAGATAAGCCGATTGGGAGTAATGGCCTATAAGTTTATCTTGCTAAAGTAAATTGATGTGACTTCCTTCAGGAGGCAAAGACAGCTGACCACAAACCTCACATTCCTAATGTGACCCCCCTTTCTCTATCACATTCTTCATTGTGCAATCTTTATTTCTATAATGCTTTTACTGATAAAGAAATGCAAATTATTTTAGAATTAAAGTTACAGAAAAATTAATTGTTAAATGCCATCATCTTGCTCTCTGTTGAAAAATTTCTCTGTTGAACATTTTTTACTTACACTGTTACTGGTTTCTTTTTACCAATCTCCTTGCACAGAGTAGCATATATCCTCCTATGTCATTTAAAACACTGTCAAGAGAGATCACCCTCTCAGTTACTAAGCTTTTTTTAAGCTACCTTGGTTGCCCCAACAATCCACACTGACCAGGAAAATCAATTACAATTTCTTGTCTTCACGTTTCTGACTTCCAAATTGAGGCAGTGATATTTAATTAAAGATTCTCTGACCACATTCATTTAAGCTCCCATGAAATCGTCTGAAATCAAAGGAGACAAATAAAAATAGCCAAGATGGTAGTATTTAAAACTACCAAAACATAACCCATTTAATGTTAAGTCAGCCTTATTTAGTCTTTGCCCAGTGAGAATTCCCTCAAACTCTGACTTGCTTGTGTTCTAAAGGTAGATAATTGTCAAGGGAAATTCTTAAAAGAAACAACTAAATTACTTGTAATAAATTGCAGAAGAATGCAGTGACAAACTAATGAAGTGAAAAGGGGCCATGTCTCCCTTTCTGGTGTCTGTAAGTTTCAAACACTAATGTAAATGATTACTATAGTCTCTTTCCATTAGCACTGTGTGGGCTCTAACATACACTTTTATTTACTAAATACATTTAGTAGACATGTGTAATAAAAATATATGCCCTTTGATCTATACATTTAATAAGCACAGAAATAAATTATATGAAGTAGTGAATTTTATGCTACTTAAAAAGCAAGAGAGCCCTAACAGAAAATAGCGACGATCACAGTGGAAGGAAGAGAAGTCTTAGATATTTGTATGTGTATTTTGCATATTTCAATACATCGTACAATGCATACAGGCATTGGGGCCTGGCAAAAATAACTACAATTGTACATTCTTCTCATAAAATATGCATGGTGGTTGTCACACCTTTTATTTATTTCAATTTTGGGGGAAAATGACTTGAAGCTCATATGTGCAGTGAATACATAATTTAAGTTAGAGTTTTGATCCTGGTGATCAGAAATGCAAATACTGGTCCTGCCGCCAAACATGAATGCCCTTCCCTTTTCAGGGCTCTGTGCTCTTGTCACGGGGATGGCAAACATCCTCAGGTGGCAGCAGTCACCACTGAGGGGACCAAGAGAAGACATGCCTTAGACAGGGCTTAGATAACAGATAAGTCTTTCTACTGAATGCACACAGACACATGGAAGGTGCCACCCTGTGGTCACCAACCCTAATTTCAAAGACAAATTCAGAGTAACGTAAAATAAAACAACCTCCGTCAACTGGGTGCACTATACAGATAGGCTCACACGCGTGACACCATGTTTCTCTTCATCTAAAATAGGCATCAATAAATGTTACTTATTAGGGCATTCATATTTCATTCATAGTCTCGAAATCTGTAAGGCCTCCATGGTCTTCCCTCTGTCCTTGCTGAATGCGCATATTTGTATGCACAAAAAGGTGTGTTCAAACTTTAGACATGATCTATTCAGAGATATATATTGTTATATTGTAACTATGTCTTTCTTTTTTCTGTTTTCTAGTTATGTTCTTACATTTCACCTGACACAGGTTTAATTTCAAAATAGTGGGGATTTATTCTATAAGTTTACATTTTATTTAGATCAGAGTTAATTGTAAGTTTAAACAATGTTTGCAGTTAAAGTATCTGATGCATGCCGGATACTGTAAGGAATGCAATCCCCACTCCTGTCCTCAAACTTTTGTCCCAGGCATTCTGTTCTCATCCTTTGAAACTTCTGACAAAGCTGTAGATTGTCTTTAGAAAGAATACAAAATTACAGCTAGACAGGATGAATCTGTTCTAGTGTTCTATGGCACCACAGTGTGACTGTAGTTAACCACTTATTACACGTTTACAAATAGTTAGAAGACAGGATTTAGAATGTTCCCAACACAGAGAAATAATAAATGTTTGAAGTGATGCACCCGTTAATTACTCTGGTTTGATCACTACACATATTATGTTTCAAAATATCTCTCTGTATTCCACAAATATGTATAATTATTACACGTCAATTGAAAAAAAGGGAAAACTGATTAAATCTGGGAATGCTTAAGTTTTTGAAAACTAACACATTAAGTCTCTCAAAAGGCCTTTCTGTGCTGAACATTTACAGTTCATAGGGAAATCTGTTAATGTTTAAATTCCTGTGTTGTAAGACTGTACCACATGGCATAATGGGTATTATAAGTTTTAAACTATTGATCCACAGTTATCACAAAAATAGCAACAGATGCTACAGTCAGCTGAGATCAATGGAAAAAGGTAAAAAAAAATTCAATTTTGTTAGTAACAAAGAATGCAGACATTTTACATTTGGGACAATTAAAAAAGCAGGGAAGTTGAAGAATCTCCAGTAAATAATGCTGGTTGCAGCCTTCAAGCAATGAGGATATTTTCTCTAAAAATTACAGAGAAACTAATGCCAGAGTTCGATTCTCCTTCATGATCCCTATCATTAAAATTGTCTTGGTCTCTTCTGGGAGTCATTGAAATACCAATAAAATTCGTAGCCACTTACAATATGCTGTTTTTCATAGAGTAAAAGATGCAACAAAGGTATTCATTTTACAAAATTTTATTTTATTTTTCTTTTTGAGATGGAGTTTCACTCTTGTCCTCCAGGCTGGAGTGCAATAGCATGATCTTGGCTCACTGCAACCCCCACCTCCCAGGTTCAAGTGAGTCTCCTGCCTCAGCCTCCCAAGTTGCTGACACTGCAGGCACCTGCCAACATGCCCAGCGAATTTTTCTATTTTTAGTACAGATGGGGTTTGACCATGTTGGACAGGCTGGTCTCGAACTCCTTAACTCAAATGATCCGCCTTCCTTTCATTGGGCAGCACAAATTTAAAGAATAACTGATGATAAAATGCAATGCTGAATAAGAGCCAAATGCCTGGTACAGAAAAATAGGTAGACTTTTGCAGGAGAACTCAGAAGTGGGAGCCATCCTTCTGCGGTAAAATACTCAGAGGAGGGTTCACCGATGGATGTGATATACAGACGGAAAGGAGAAGGATTTCTGCCACAGGGAAAGTTATATGGCACACACAGGAAGGAGGACGAGCAGGGGCTGAGGTAGTGTGATTTGATGCTGGTAAAGAGACAAATGTAGGGACCTGGGATGTAGATTTTACGAGATGTATTGGGGAAGAGGAGTCGAAGCAAACAAAACAAACTGCAAACGAAGAGTCTAAAAGACTTGGTACCTAGTTCCACAAAGGAAAGCAAAGGAAAAAGTGAAATGAAGAATCACTGTGTTTACCTTGAGCATCAGCTTAGGGAGGCTATGCAGGCAACAGAGTGCCCAGTGGAGGAGAGTATAGCAGAGAGGATGAGGCAGAGCCCTACTCAGCTTCTGTGCCCAGGGGTGGGAGGAAACTGGGATCAGAAGAAGATAGAGGGGGCCAGGGGTAGTGGCTCACACCTGTAACCCCAGCACTTTGGAGGCCAAGGTGGACGGATCACCTCAGGTCAGGATTTCCAGACCAGCCTGGCCAACATGGTCAAACTCCGTCTCTACTAAAAATACAAAAATTAGCCAGGTGTGGTGATAGGTGCCTGTGATCCCAGCTACTTGGAGTTTGAGGCAAGAGAATCACTTGAAGCTGGGAGGTGGAGGTTGCAGTGAGCTGAGATCGTGCTATTGCAGTCCAGCCCGGGCAACAGAGCAAGACTCCGTCTTAAAAAAAAAAAAAAAAAAAAAAAAAAAACATACAGAAGAAGAAGGTAGAGGAGGTATGACTCCATGCGGTAGAGTTTAGTAGGTCAGAGACTAAATGTTTAAAGAGGTTTGCAGCTTCCCTTTCAAGAAGTTTGACAGTGAGAGGGGAGACCGAAGGGGAATGTATCACAGGATGGCATATAGGGCCAGGTTATCCCATCCAGCTTCTGAAGTTAATCATTTTGTGTACCTACATCATGACAGAGGGAGTAGCAATTTTACATATTTACCAAGTAAAATGTACTTCCCATTTCCTTTTGTTTTACAGTTTTTAGTAGGCACATTTATTTCTATCCATTTATGATATGCATTTTTTGACTTCAAGATTAACTGTTTGTTAGAACCTGAATTATTCAGTGCAAATAGTGCAGACAGATAACTTCTAGCAAAACTGAAAAGTAATAAGGATTTCTAAACTTCTAACTGGGAAATTAACACTACACAAAATTTCTCCTCTCTGAGTGCGCATTCTTACTGAGAAAGAAGAAAATACCCAGTGGTGGTTGAATTTATTTGTGGGAATATGCCCATTTCTCTATGACCCTCCATGGCCCTTCTACCCTTTCTTTCTCAAATGTGCTCAAGTCGGCTTTAGCAAACTCTTGTGGACCAAAGGTAAAGGTTCCAATTCCTTACCATGTGAGTCATATTCTGGCCCAAACCTACTTTTTCATAATTATTTCCCACAAATGGCAAATCTAATTCCACTTTTTCCAAAGAATCTTGGTTTTTTTTTTTTTTAACCCTGCAAATTGCCTTTCGAGGCTGGAATTCTCTCCTTTTCTTCCCAGCTTCACACTCATTCAGCACATTCTTGCCTCACATCCTGGTGCACCTGGCTCTGCTGATGAGGAATCCTGTCCATCAGTCTATTTGTCTATCCACCTAGTCACTTCTATCGCCTTTCTGTAAAGTGAGTCTTCTATAGCCCACCATTAAGGAGAAGTGATCATTCCAATCTGGATGTTCTGTAGATAGATTTAATTCTCACCTAGACATTTTATTACTCCTAAGATTTCAGGTAAACATAACGTTCATACAAATGTTTATGAAATCTGGTATCCAGGGAGACAGTCCATAACTTACATTAACATTTCAGTGGCGAATCTGACCCGAATATTTTTCAAGAACTATAAGTAAAATTGTAAACTCCTGCAGAAAGAGTCAGTAAATTTTTAATTGTGCTCCTCTATCTAATGCTTACAATAGGCCTGCGGTCTATGATTTATACATTTTTAAAAACATTTCTGATGGATAGTTGGCACTGCACTGAAAATAAAATAAACCTGCCTGTGGACATGGTGAAGAAAGTGACGCATTGCCTCTGCCCCGGGCCAGTAGTGCTTCACCCTAGGACGTGCCCAGGTCCACTTTTCCTTCTGCTCGTCCTGAAGGACGTCTCTCCCATACACCTACACTCAGAGTCAGCACTCCAGTTTAATCACCTGAGAAGCTTGCATAGGATCAGAGAGAGAGAGAGAGAGAAGAAAAAAAACAAAAACAAAACGAAACGAAACAAAAACACCAACAACAGCAACAACAAAAAACAAACAGAGAACTCCTCATATAAGGAGACCCAACTTCTTCACTGTGAAGAGTTACTTCTGCGTTTCTAAATGTGTTATGACTGCAATGGATAACAGAGTATTTCCGTGCGAATGCGCTGAGCAGCCTCATGTCGCACTCATCTTCTTGACAGGATACCACGAGGCACAGACTACACAACTAGTGGAAGCAGTAAAATCCACGCCACCCTTGGAACATACGCCTAGCACACTTGTCTCACTTGACCGCCATGGTCCCTGTATGGCAGCTGTGCTTAGCTCCATCTCACTGCTGGATAAACAAACCTTTAAAGGAACTGAGAGACTTGCTCAGTGTCATGAAGGTCTTCAGGCTCCAAAAGCCAGCATCTCTCTACTGTGCTACACGACTCTTTTCATGAATGCAGAGTGTTCTGCCCTTTTTTTGTGGTTTTATTTTGCTCAGGCATTGAAATATTCCAGGAATTATTCAAGGAACATGAAGCGAATTCTGCCTCTCTGGAGATGGCTTTCCTGGATGCTGGAAGCAACAAACAACTTGCTGCTTTTGCTCTTTAGAAAAATAGATAATTTGCCGTCCACACATAAAACTGCATTGCGTGGAATAGTGTGACATTAGGATGGTGTTAGAAAATAATAAGTATTATGTGGAGACTTCTGAATAAGTAATTGATATTGACTTAGAAGACTGGAAAAAGTTTCTTCAAAAAGAATAATGGAAAGAAACAAGGGTGGTTGCAGGGTGTGAAAGAAAATTAAATCTTGGGACCTCAAACTCATTACGCCGAAGGGAAAAGTCAAGCTGGGAACTAGGTCTCGAAAACCTTCCTTCCCCTTTTTGGTTCCTAAATGAGGTGATTACAAGATGAAAAGCTCCACACTTCTCCGTATTTTTTCCCATAAAGACATTCCTAGTGAGCTGCAAGATCGTTACTCCCAGGTGTTTCTGTTAAAATTTCACCATGGCGATGTAAATTGATAAGTTTATCTTTACAGCTGCCGTCACTCCCTTGCCCACCAGACACAAATGCATATCTGCTTCCTCCTCTAACCAATTTCGTCTATGTTATCGTATGTAAAATCCAGATTCCCTGCCTTTTCCTCTGCACCATTTGTCTTTGTCACCTTACATAAAAAATTGGAGAATCACTGACCCAGACAGAGGCATGAATGATTATCTTCCCCTACCCCCGTTACATGAAAATTGTGTATTTCTCAATATCCTGCCCTTTCCCCTTCAATGTGGAGCCCTCACAATCCTCTTCCGAGAAGGACATAGACCTGTCTCCCCAGCATGCATCCTTCCCTTTGGCAAGTAAACCTCCTGAAATGATTGAGACTTGTCTCGTCACTTTTCTGGATTGACAAGGGCATGGAAGGTCTGGCGGGAGTGGGAGTTGAGGACAGGGATGACGTGTTCAAGCCGCAGCAGGTGTGTGCAACAGGAGCATGGGAAGTTTGGAATACGGATCAAAAGATGAGTTTGAAAAGGCGGATGGGGACACAGCACGGAGAGCATCTACTCTGCCTGTGATACCCTGTGGGCTTCCACTGATTACTAAACAGGGCACAGCAGGACCAGATTTGGAACCCAGGTTAATGAATTACATGAGGTTTTATTCCATAGAAAGATTTTAACCAGGAAAAAAGTCTAGGAAACTAGATTTTAACTAGGACTTCTAAACTTTTTGGAGGCAAAAATAAATAAATAAATAAATAAAATAGATCCAAAGATTCGTTTCTTTATTTTCATGTCAGACTCCCATGACTAGTTTGTCAATGTAAATGTGGATGACTGTGGTGGACAGCTTAACATGTGCAGTGTACATTGTAATGCTTCAAGTTCCAAAGCACATGCTATTTACAAGCGATGCCTACAGACAGGTAGCAAATAAACATGAAACGTTGTCTGGGCTATGAAATGAAGAGTCAGTGACTTACAGCATTAGGGTAATGTAGGTACTCTCAAGACTTGGTGTATATTTCTCTAGAATGAATGACATTCTTATTTATTTTGTTTCATATATCTATGGAACTGAACATTAAGTCTGATAAATGCTCATCACAGATAGAGTAAGGGATGGTGTTCAAACATGCTGAGCGCTTTAGTTGAGTGGGCCTGAAGCAGACTGAGGTTTCTAAGGGCTTTAATGAGGACAGGGCTGAGGCCTTTTGTAGTAAAGCCTAGAGTAGCTGGGGCTGGGAGGCTCTTAGGATTCTCCGGGCAGTGAATATTTATCATCTGATGCAAATAATTCAACATGTTAACAACCATTATGGACATACAAGCTGAATTGTAGCCCTAGATATGTGTCTTGAGAAAGCAAAGCTCTTACTACTTTCAAAACAAATTTCAAAATATCTATGAAAAACCATTTTGAACTCTATCATTTCTCTGTTATATTTTTTGGGGTAGTAAATTGTAGACTATGCCATGGTCAAAAGTTAACTACAAGGCTCCCCTGGAGGAGAATATGCCACCTTCACAACAGGAAAGAACATGATGGTCAGCTCTGCAAGAACCTGGTTGGAATCTCATGAGCCTTTAAAAACTACCACTGAGACTGAGCTGACCAGCAGGAGGGAACCCTCTGAGACATTTCTTCAAAATTGCTCTGACAAAGAAAGGTCTTACAAACAGGTGAGTAAATGCCAACTTGACGTAATCTGAGACAGTCTGAGGAAACCAGGTTCTGCACGTGTACAACAGGAAACTCGCCCAGGATCTAATCATCACAATTTTCAGTGGTTGCCACATTCATCTTTTGCTACGCTTGCTCCTCAACCATTTTGGAACTCATCTCTGGATTCATTCTGAGCACTCCACTGAGACTCTGAAGCATTTGTCTTTTCACAAGGGGCATGAATCCCCGGGGAAGTCAGGCAGCTGCTGGAGTAAGGACGTTAACCTCCTCAGAGTAGATTCCTTATTTCATTAAGCAACAGCTTCGCCATTCAATTTCAGAAGCCTGATTCAGATCATTAAGAGAACAAGCAATGTAACCTGTGCCTTTGAAGGTTTCCTGGTTTCCCTACAGCTGTGAATAATCTGTGGTTTCCCCACATTATCATGTAGGTAATTGCCTGGGGAGCAGTCACTACAGCAGCTCGCCAACCTGGTCACAGCAGCAGGCCGGGGGGAAAGGCCAGACTTCATGACCAGTTGGTCAATGTAAATGCTGAAGACTTTGGTGGACAACTTCCTCACATGTACAGTAGACACAATCATGCTTACCGTTCCAAAGCACACCGCTACCTACAAGAGGTACACACGGACATTTAGCAAATAAACATGAAACATTGTCTGCAGATTTGGCCAACGATATTGCCTGCATGAGACAGAGAACATGAAGAATAAGAGCAGCTCAGGGCTGATACGCTGAAAAGAATAGCAGTTTAGGACTGATATGCTGAAAGCCAGAATAAGTTCTTCCTCCACATCACAAAACTATAAACTGCGGGAAAACAATTTACGAAGGGATTGATAACCTACCTGAACTTTATTCTTGAAGCATAAGAACTTAAAATCTACCAGTCACTGCCAAGTATTAATCTGTTTTAAATAGCTGAGATTTACTGGATACCATTGTTGGCCCCCAATTATCCAATGTCAACCACATTTCAAAGTTTAGAGAAAGGAAGGATTTAAAGTGGTTTTATATATAACAGTAAACGTTTGTCATGCATTAATATTTCAGAGACACAACTTTAAAATAAATCAATACATAAAAGTGCACTGAATTAAAATTCTGGCATGAACTCAAATGTTCATGTATTCCATTAGTCTGCGTGGGATTTTTATTCATTAATTTAACATCTCTGATGAATAATATTTCATATCTTTCTTAAATTTATTCTCTTGTTTCAACATTAGTAAGAAATTATCCCCAATATCTACTCAAAATAATTACAACTAATATTTAAGTGTATTTCTCCTATCCTTACCAGATACCCAGAAGCTGTTCAGAATGAACTTTTACATTTATGACTTTTTAATATACCGAGAGAAACAAAATAATCATGCCTGTTTTATCTTCTTTGATGAAGGTCAATAGGGTGGGGCTAAGAAATTGTCATCACATGGCCAGCCCAAGAGGACTGAGTACAGTGGGTCAGGACACTGGCCTGTCAGCTTTCTGCCTGGAACAGGCCAGTCTGAGAAATAAAGCTGTGACTAAATTACAGCTATCCGAAAAAGTTCCTCCTTTCATTAGGAATTTTATTTCATAAAAATAACTCACTATCCACCACCCCTCAACTAAAACACGTTCTGATGTTAAGTAGTGGGAGCAGTATGACAAGTCGGTGGAGAAACACAGTTGTAAAGACTGACATGAAGCCAAGAGCACAGCAGCCTGTACTCACATCCTGGTTCTGCCATTTGCAAGCTGTATGACGAGAGCCACAGCCCTTAATCTCTCCATTTCTCGCATGAGAGTTGAAGCTTCTTTCTGTTCTGCCATCCAATAACCCCATGCCATCCAGGAGGGATTCTCTAGGTAATTTTATGTGGCCCCATTTGCAAGCAAATTCTAAACAATCCATCATTTTCTTTGGAAGAGATTGTTCTGATCATCTTTGAAAACACTTTTTTCACAGAAATATTATGTAGACACAGTATTTTTTTTTTACTAATGGTCATCCATGCGAACACATAGCTTTGCAAATTCCTGTTTTTCATATAAACAAATCATACGTTTGTTTTTTTTCCTTTCATGAAATATTGTATGTGAGAGTCATCCATGTCGTTACATGTAGAGGCAGTTTGTCTCTTTCCAAGTTTGTTTATTACTTCTATGGTTAATGAACATTTAGGTGATTCTCAGTGGTTGACAATAGCGCTTGCATCTCCTCTGGACGTTCTCTGTACCTGTTGTGCCTAGCTGCTCATTTCTGTTGGACACATGCCTGAAATGTTCCTTATGTTCAGCTTGATGGTAAAACAGTTTTCTAAAACGGTCGTATCAATTCAGATTTCCACCAATAGTGCAAAAAAAAAGTCATTGTTTTGTTCTTTATGTTTTAAAATGTGGAATTTCAAGCTGTTTGTTTTAGTTGCTTTGGGCTGGGGAGGCATTGAGTCTGAGGAAGGTCCTCAGTGTGGCGAGCTCCCTCCCACTTCCCAGCCCTAGAAAAAACCCTTGTCCCACTTTTCTTCCGTTTGTCTAGAAGTCCACCATGGTTCTCCAAGGTGGACGTGATTATTTCTATTTTATAAAACAAGGTAGCAAGACACACAGGTAGAAGGGGTACTGGCTAATCGTAAGTACTTAATGAAAAGTGCAGAGTAAGAGTCAGTCGCTTGGAACCCATAGATGGACACTTTTTCCAAAATCTTAAAACTTGTGCCATTGAGACTTTACAAGAATCTTTTGTTCTGAGAGAAATTAAAGTAGATATTTAGGAAAAGTGGTTACGTGTTTCTGATTTGAATGAGTTATATTATTAAAAACTATTTTTTTTCATGGAGGTTTAGTGGTTTTAAGAATTATTTAAAGGTTATAATATATTTCAGTAATTTATTTTGATTGAAACAATACTTCATGCATCCATACCTACCTAATAGTTCCCTCAAATACAAGATAGCAAGGGAGGTCCACTGCCATGGAAACAGGCAGGAGGCCCATGTGGAGGTTTCTAGACACTCTGCAGAGCAGTGGTCCGTGGAACCTTGAGGGGAATAGGAGCACTTGATTTCCTCCATTCCTTCCGCTAAACGTAACTGAGCACTTTCCAGGTTCTAGATAATGGTTGTTATTATTTTTACACTGTTTTAAAAGGAGAGGCAACCATGCATGCCACCAGAATCCAGGTATACTCCTAGATAGAGCTCTGGAAACTGCATTTCAAATCTCAGAAAATGTGAGCATTGGAGAATGGGGAATGCATACGTTTTATCCAAATTAGAATTAACCTGGGAACATGGGGCTTTCAATAACTCAAAATGCCTTTCTAATAACATGAAAGTCTTCATTTGGTATAAAGGTCTTCATTTTAATTAAAAGGGAAAATCAATAGTTATAGGGAACTATAACCTAAAAACAAACTAATTATTTGTGTCAACACAAGCTTTATCGCCACTGTCAGGGTTTCCCTTGATTTATGAGATGAATGTTCCCTATAAAAATTGGAATTTTATTACAAACACTTACTTTCATGATGATTTATCAGTTACAGAAAATCAATGGGAATTTCATTTTATGAAAATTGTAATTTTATAAACAGCCGGGTAAAGGTGTGTAAAACTGGAGCCCAACACTTAGATGACTATTTAGTAGTGAGGGGGCCCTCATGGTTCAAGATTAATATATTTTCAAAAAATTTATCTTGTAGACACTGAAAACGTCTAGATGATGGATTGTGCTTACAAGGCACTTATTTAATTATAATTAATGATGGAGGCAACATATAAAGAATGGGCTCAATTTTCAGCTGATTTAAAGAAATAATGTGTCCTGCATAAATCTTACATTCAACCACAGCCCAATATATACAGCAGATATTGCAAATATATTGTGGGTTTTTCCCCTGCGTTTTCTACTACTTTTGTTCACAATGTCATTTTAAAAGTGAATAGATTTTAAGAGTAGCAACTGTAGAACAGTTTTACTTGTCAAGCAACCTTACTACTGCTTCTGACATGACTTGATGATATAATTGGAGAGGTGAAAGTCAAAGAAGAAAGTGTAAGACTCCGAGAATAAAGAATTTGGAGATGAAAGTTAAAAATGTAAGGGAAGAGTAGAAAGAATATTTTATGTTGGTTGTCATTTATTTGACCAAGAAAAGCACCAAGTTAAAAAGAATATATTATTTGTCTTTGAGAAGTTACACAATTCTGTCCAAGCATCATACGCTGGAAAACAAAGAAGTTTCTCATAGAAAGAGACCACCAGTGGGCTGATTTCATATAAACGAATCATACGGTTTATGTTTTTTTTTCCTTTCACGAAATATTGTATGTGAGAGTCACCCATGTCGTTACATGTAGAGGTAGTTTCTCTCTTTCCATGTTTGTTTATTACTTCTATGGTTAATGAACACTGAGGTGGTTCGCGGTGGTTGACAATGGTGCTCGCATCTCCTGGGGACATTCTCTGTACCTATTGTGTGTAGCTACTCATTTCTGTTGGACGCATGCCTGAAATGTTTCTTATGTTCAGCTTGATGGTAAAACAGTTTTCTAAAACGGTCATATCAATTCAGATTTCTACCAATAGTGCAAAAAATATAGTCATTATTGAGTTCTTTATGTTTTAAAATTTGGAATTTCAAGCTGTTTGTTTTAGTTGCTTTGGGCTGGGGAGGCATTGAATATGAGGAAGGCTAGGAACCACAAAGGGTTTCTTAGGAATTCCAGATAATCTGCAATCGTATCAATCCAAGTAACACTGACGGAATTTTTGTTCTCTTACAAATGACCATAAATGATAAACGTGACTACAATAACGTTAAAAAGATTATAATATATGCGAAGCATAAAAATGTATGTTCTTTTTAAAATGTTCTTCTCCACTTTATATGTATATATATATCTTATATATATCATATATATATGATTCAGGTTAAATATACGATATATATGATTCAAGTTGTTTGACAACATTTGGAAAGATGAAAATAACACAATAATGTTTACATTATGTAAGTTTTCACTATAATTATTATTGTTGTCTTATTAGTCCCCAAATATCAATCGACTATGCTTTTTTTTTGTTTCGCAATTTTTGTTGGCACAAATAATATCAGGCTTTCCTTCTTTAATGTATTTAGTTCAGATAAAAGGTACAATACAATTTGGGCTTCATGCTTTTTAATCTCGGTATAGACAAGAGGGAAGATTCAGCTGAACAAATGTTTTCCCTGCTTGACAGAAGGTTTCACATTTGCCCTCTGAAGGAACAAACTTGATGATCTTACTCGCAAAAAACCAGGACAGCCCCGTGTGGAGGGCTGGGTGGCTGGCAGGGACTCTGAGAAGGGCCCATCTCATCCTAAGCTGTTGCTCTGTCTCCAGCTGTCCTTAGGTTTGTTCTAGAATCAGCAACAGCAACCATACTGGAGCTTCCATTCCTTGGTAACAGTTCTGCCCTCTGGATCCAGAAAAATAATCGTAGTGCCTTTCTGCGTACTGTGCACCATGCGCCCTCTAAGATTCCTCACATCCTCCTTCTGATGGGTCTTGTCATCTTCCTCTCTCTGGTCCTTCTTCTTCTTCAGAGGGTGGTGTCTAGTACTGAACCTAACCTTCCACAGGCAGTCTGCGTAAATGTGGTTTTAAGCAGGAAGTCCCCTGTTCAATGAGGACCATGTGGTAATGAAAAAAAGGTAACTTCCTTGTACCGTGTTGTCTTGGAGCTGAACTTTAAAGTCAGCCTTGAAATGTTTCCTAATGCATTACTGTTAAGCCAGGCTTACCTCTCTTGATACCTTCATACCTTTTGACCGTTTTAGAATTAAATGCCAAATTTTTGACTCCTCTCTCCTTATATATACAATTGAAGTGTGTGTGTGTGTGTGTGTGTGTGTGTATATATATATATATACACGAACACACATCTACATCTATATATAAATTATTTATATATTTCTTATATAAATATAATACAATAAATTTAATTAAATATAACTACATACAGTTTATACATATAAATGTTTATACTTAAATATATAATTAAGCATATATTATAGAATATATATAAATAATGTAATTATAATTTATGCTTCTATAATATATACAAGAATGAAGTGTGTATAACGTACGTACAGTTTAATTCTATAATGTAGTTGTATTGTTTATATAATTTATATACTCTATATAATACTTTCATTAATTACATATTTTTTTTAACTTTTAAAATCAACGTCTGATACATCTAAGTGATTGCTATTTTCTGCCAACCAATGAGTTTCTTATATCTACCATCTTGGAGCAGCTTCAAAGTTGATATTCCATTTTTAACCTTTCTTTCAATTACAGATACAAATGCCAAGTTCACTGATCAGGTTTGAGAAACAAACGCTTAGAAATTTTTCTTTAATTCACTGTTGTTCAGTTACTGAGAGCTCTAGGAAAAGATCAATTTACATTTTAGAGACAAATCTGTTAATCAACCTAACTGACTATAGGATCAGTCCATTGGCCTTGTAAATATTGACTTATGGTTATGTTAAATCTGGTACGGGATGGACATATCCATAGATAAGGATCACTGAAGAGAAAGTGCAGACAGAATTTCTCTACCAGACCACATGGAGTCTTCCTCATTCAAACCCACCCAGCCTGGGTGTGCACCCACCTCCCACCGCCAACACGTCCATCCCACCTTTACTCCATTCTAACTACAGCCACAGTATATGGCAGTCACAAGATAACGGCAGATATGGGGAGGTATGGAAAAGGAGGATCGGCCTGGCCTGGCTCCAGGTGAAGGGAAAGCACATTAATTTCACTCTAATAAAATTTCAGGGCAGCTTCTTTGCAACCAAAGAAGATCAAGCTAAGAACCTTCCGGCAACATCAGAAGGCAATCTAAGATGGACAATGTTCCTGATGAAGTCTAAAATATATTTTGGCGCTGGGTACGGTGGCTCACACCTGTAATCCCAGCACTTTGGGAGGCCGAGGCAGGCAGATCATCTGAGGTCAGGAGTTCAAGACCAGCCTGGCCAACATGGCGAAACCCCATCTCTACTAAAAATACAAAATTAGCCGGGTGTGGTGGTCTGCACCTGTATTCCCAGCTACTCGGGAGCCTGAGACAGGAGAATCACTTGAGCCCAGGAGGTGGAGGTTGCAGTGAGGCAAGACTGCACCACTGCACTCCAGCCCAGACAACAGAGCAAGACTCTGTCCACTGCCACCCACTCCCCGCCTGGCAAAAAAAAAAAAAAAAAAAAAAAAAAAACATATTTTGTTGAAACGAATTTGCCCCTGGATTCTGAGGCAGGAAGTTCTGCGTACATCATGTGCCCCAGGGACTGGGTGGCAAATAAAGACTGCTGGTTCCGATGTGTACTTCTCAGCACCCTCTGCATTTCATTCCCCGCAACTGACCCTTGTTTCTCTACTGGTCATCCTGAAGGAAACGATGAAAGCATTATGGATTTTAAAATGTGTAAGATAACAGATATTTAGACCAGTTTGTTGAAAAATTACTAAAATCTCCAGCAGGAGCTATAATTAGATCCCTTTGCATTCTGACTTTCATGGGAGGTATTTACAAACTGCAAACTGTCTCCGTGACCTGCTAGTTCCTGCAGCATGGAGGATGCTGTAATTTCTCTGGCACTGCAGGGCTTGGTGTCCTCTCTGGCACATGGCAGGTGTTCAGCGAATGCTACCTTAATGGGGTCAACGTTCTCATCGTCACAATGTGGGGAAAGCTTAGGCACTTTGATTGGGAAGGTCCATTATTTTCAAAGTCATGTTATTTTAATTTGGAAATCGAAGTGGAATGGTTTTTAGGAGACTGCTTAATAAACTGAATAGTTTTTTGCTGTGTTAATAAGGATTACTCATTATTAGAAACATACAGGAAATGATACAATATGATCTAGGTATAAACCTTAGAAACCAGAGAGAAAAAGAACATTTCATTACCAAGCTCTGTCCTAATGACTACAGACTCCCCATTTTGCTCAGCTGCAGGAAATCCAGAATCTTTCTTTTAAGATTCATTGTGTGTAAATTACTGAATCATGCATTTATGTGGTGTGAAGACCTTTTAGGATTAAAAGTGATATTACAATACTTTTTGTGCATTTTCATGCAACCTATATGCTATAGCATGCTTAACATGAATGTAAATACAATAGCCAAACTGCTGTGGATATTTACAGATTAGATGCATAATAATTAAAATCAATGATAATAAATAGCTATTGATTAAAACTTAGCAATTGTTCCAGTGTATCAAGAAACTATACATATCCTGTATACTGTGATAGTGATATAGCTTTACTAATAAGTTCCCAGCTGTCGACTATATGATTTCCAAAGATAACTGTGAATAAAAGAATTAGAAACCATTTTCAAGCTATTTATCCAACTCCTAAAATTTCATGGCTAGAAAGGATCAAAATATATTACGCTCTGTTTTTTTTTTTTCTTATAAGATGGAGCATCCTTACCTTGGAACTGAGCGTTAAATCCTTTGCGTCGGTGGTTGCTGTCAGAGGTGAAATGGAGTCGTAGCCAATTCTTGCTACTGATAACTGGAGAGGGGAGGTTCATGCCAGTTAGCCTAGAGAAGAGAAAGAGGAAAAAAATCTCCCTTGTAAACCAACAGAGCAAATGTCCTATATCAAACCCGCTTTGAAATCCGATTACTTAAATCCTTCATCTTGAGATGCTTAAAACAGAGGCCATGTATTAATTGACTTTGAACCTTAAAACGATCAAGATGATTTTATCTTTGCCCAAACATAAATGCTAAATCCCTAGATGGAATGAATGTTTTCAAAAATATTTGATACTTTCATTCTCCTTTATTAATGGTGAATGCAGGAGGAGGTATTCTTTTGATCTCTTAGTTCTTTTCATCAAGATCTTAATCACAATGAATCAGAAAAAAGGAAAAGAAATAGGAAAATGATAAAATTCTGTGTTTCACAATTTGAAGACTTAGT
Organism: Homo sapiens; assembly: GCF_000001405.40. NCBI lineage: Eukaryota > Metazoa > Chordata > Mammalia > Primates > Hominidae > Homo > Homo sapiens. The sequence goes on from NC_000008.11 coordinate 3,754,428, forward strand.
AATTCCTTATTTATTTATTTATTTATTTATTTATTTATTTATTTTGAGACGGAGTCTCACTGTGTCATCCAGGCTGGAGGGCAGTGGTGCGATCTCGGCTCACTGCAAGCTCCGCCTCCTGGGTTCAAGCGATTCTCCTCCCACAGCCTCCTGAGTAGCTGGGATTACAGGCATGCGCCATCATGCCTGGCTACTTTTTATATTTTTACTAGAGACAAGGTTTTGCCGTGTTGGCCAGGCTGGTCTCGAACTTGTGACCTCAGGTGATCTGCCTGCCTTGGCCTTCCAAAGTGCTTGGATTACAAGCGTGAGCCACGGCGCCCGGCCACAAGACTTACGAATTCTATGTAACCTGAAGTAGACGCCAACAAACTGTTTCTCATGCTTGGTAACAAGCTATATTCCCAGCATCCCATTTGCAGGACTAAGAACCTGGGCCTTTCCTACCAAAGTAAAGAAGAGGACCATTTATGAGATTGATGACAAGAACTGCAAAAGAGATTTGAAATGGAATAAAATTATGTTTTAAGAAAGCAGTGCATTCATTTTAAAAATAAGATGCAATCAATTTCTGGTTAAGCTGTTTAAAATATCCATTTCACTTTACAACGTGCAGTTTAGTTGTCAGAAACAATCATGTGTTTTATTTCTCACTATTGAAAACCTTATGTGCTTACTAAGGAATAAAAGCATTCCAAGATATTAAAGCTCCTGCCCGTTAGAGGCGCAAGGGACACATTTAGTTTTTCAGTGGCATAAGCATCACTGGATTAGGATGCTTCTGATACAGGATTGCGTGCTGGCTCGACTTTGTGCTAGGTGAAGCAACATAGGTGGATCATGTTTATGAACCTCTGTTACCCATTGTATAAACTGGACACGAAAATACCTGTATCAAGGGTCGAAAGATGATAGAGATGCACATGTAAATGTACCTGAAGCACATTCTCCATGTGCTCTACAAGTGGTTGTGCACTGAATAATTATTTTGCATCTTGGTAACAAAATCTATTTTCAAAATGATGCTTATTAGTGTAGATAATCTGTAAGGGTTTAAGCAAATTGCTTTTAGCAGGAACTTGAACTGTGGTGCTGCGTGTGGGCCTGCCTGTGAGCGCCGCAGCTGCTTGGTAAAGCTGAGGACCTGATTTCTACACAGACGATTTCCTACGAAATGGGTCACCTGTGTAGAGAGCATTTCCCTACTTATTCTATTACCTGGAAGAAGCAACACCAGATGAAATACATAGTCAAGCTTTCTGATGTCAGGGGGCTCTATTCCAACTCTCAGGTTTAAAAATGTACAGGATCCACTTTAAGTTAAAAGCCAAACCTTGACTGTAACCAATTACAACAGTGTTTATGCCACTGTTTGAAATAATCTTCTGTAAGAGAAGTACACTGCTCAGATTTGCCTCTTTGCTTGGATTTATGTAGTACTGGCTGGTGACAGCTGGACACAGCTGACTCCAAGGCATATTTAATCACCTTTTTTTATTTTTCTGGTGAGATTATGTTACAAATTCTATAGGCCACATACTTATTTGCCTAATACGGAGAATGTCTAAAAAACTAGATTCAAAAACCCCCAGTCTGTGCCACTCACCTGTACTTACTGAACTTACAGGTACTTTAAAAAATCATTGTGGCCGGGCGCAGTGGCTCACACCTCTAATCCCAGCATTTTGGGAGGCCGAGGCAGGTGGATCAAGAGGTCAGGAGATCGAGACCATCATGGCAACGGTAAAACCCTGCCTCTACTAAAAATACAAAAAATTAGCCGGGCATGGTGGCGGGCGCCTGTAGTCCCAGCTACTCGGGAGGCTGAGGCAGGAGAATGGCGTGAACCTGGGAGGCAGAGCTTGCAGTGAGCTGAGATCGCGCCACTGCACTCCACCCTGGGCAACACACTGAGACTCCATCTCAAAAAAAAAAAAAAATCATTAGTTTCTTTGTATATTAAAAATCAATAATTATTTTTATACACACAAATATCACATACAAAAAACGTTAAATTCAAACATAGAAAATTTAAAAACTACAAACACATAGATATACACTGAAATTAAGCACAGAAGCAAGCCTACCTTTTCCACATCAGATACGATCCTAATGTAAAATATATACATAGCTAATAGTATCCAAAGCCCTCAAAATACTGCACTGATATTTATTCAATCCCCTGTAAGTTTCCATTTCATATGGTGATAGAAGACTATGAATACAAAAGATCAGCGAATGTAGGAAGCTGCATGTACTTGCTAAACTTTTCACAACCGCAATCAATGCTTGTTTTGTTGCTGCTTTGAACATATATATTTTCTCACTCGCATTACTTATGAACGGTTCTGACTGAAAAAACCAGGTGGAATTTTTTTTTTTTCTTGAGACAGTGTCTTGCTCTTTCACGCAGGCTGGAGTGCAGTGGTGCAATCACAGCTCACAGCAGTCTCCGACTCCTGGGCTCAAGCCATCCGCTTGCCTCAACCTCTGGAGTAGCTAGAGCTATATGTGCACACCATATCTGGATAGTTTTGTAATCTTTTAATTTTTTGTAGAGACTGGGGGTCTCACTATGTTGTCCAGACTGGTCTTGAACTCACAGCCTCAAGAAATCCTCTCACCTTTGCCTCTCAGAGTGCTGGGATTACAGGCGTGAACCACTGTGCCAGCCTGGAATTGCACTTTATTTGCATGCCTACATTAATAATGATCACAAATAAATCCCCTCTCTACCACCACCTACACCCACATCCACTCTTTACCCTCATCTGTATTTCCAAATACCTACTCAGAACAATGATAGTTTTGTGTCAGTCAACAGGATATTTCTGTAAAGGGCCAGGGAGTACGTACGTATTTCAGGCTTTATGGGTCACATGGTCTTTGTTGGAAATTGTTCAACTTTGCAGGTGTAGTTGGCAAGTAGCCATAAAATGGCAGTGGGTGTGTTCCAATAACACTTTATTTACGGACACTGAGATTTTAATTTTTATACAATTTTTTTGTGTCACAAAATAGTTACTTTTTGATTGTATTTTTTCAGTCACTTAACAATGTGAAAGCCACTCTTAGCTGATGGGCCAGATTTGGCCTGCAGGTACTAGTTTGCTGACCCCTGCTCTAGCATATATGAAGCGATTTGTAAAAACAGACCCGGTGCAGTGGCTCACCCCTGTAATCCCAGCACTTTGGGATGCCAAGGTGGGTGGATCACCTGAGGTCAAGAGTTCAAGACAAGCATGGCCAACATGGTGAAACCCTGTCTCTACTTAGCTGGGCATGGTGGCAGGCACAGGTAATCCTAGATAATCGGGAGGCTGAGGCAAGAGAATTGCTTGAACCTGGGAGGCAGAGGTTGCAGTGAGTTGAGATCACACCATCACACTCCAGCCTGGGTGAAAAGAGCGAGACTTCATCTCAAAAAACAAACAAACAAACAAAAAAAACCAACAACAAAAACACCGAGCTGGAAGATAAACAGATGATGCATAGCAGCCTAGTGTAATTCAGGTTTAAAAAAAATGCGTAAGTCCTGCACAAATTCCTTTTATTTTTGACAGTCTTGCTCTGTCACCCAGGCTGGACTGCACTGGCACAATCTCAGCTCGCTGCAACCTCTGCCTCCCAGGTTCAAGTGATTCTCCTGCCTCAGCCTCCTGAGTAGCTGGGATTACAGGCACCGGCCACCACACCTGGCTAATTTTTGTATATTTAGTAGAGATGGGATTTCACCATTTTGGCCAGGCTGGTCTCAAACTCCTGACCTCAGGTGATCCAACCCCATCATCTTCCCAGAGTGCTAGGGTTACAGGCGTGAGCCATCACACTCAGCCTTGCACAGATTCCTTTTATAGAGAAGCAAGGGTGAGGGCTTTAGACCAATTATACAATCCATTTTCCATGAAGAAGCCATTCAAATGAATTGTACCCCGAAGTCGATTTTTGTACATGAATTTCCTGATTTGACCTTTTGCGTTAAACAAATGTTCATAGACTTTTGTTGTTTGTTTGGGAAAGGGGGTTGTTCCAAATGAGACCTGGCCTTAGAACTGTGTTGTTATTCTATCGCTGTCTACAGGGCCAGGAGCTAATCTTATAGCTCTCATCTGACACAAAGTTGATGCTATAAACTCAGTTGTTTCTTCATTACAAACTACGTAATTTAAAGGAAGATGATTACTGTACAAATTAGGTGAAATTGTGAACTCTCTAACAACTTGGTGTTTCAGTTGAGATTTAGAAGAAAAGAATTCAACTGAATGGCTTTGTGGGAGGCAGAATCATACCTGCTACAGACAGATCCCCAAGCCCCGAGGTCCTGCTCTCTGGAGACTGTCAATGTGTCACCTGACATGGCTCATGAGGACTTTGCAGAACAATGCGCTTACTGAGCTTGGGATGGGGAGATTATACTAGATTATTGAGTGGGCCCAATGTAATGAAAAAGATCCTTAAAGTGGAAGACAGAGGCAGGAGGACAAGGTTCCAGGTAGAAGAGCCTGTGGACAAAGGTCAGAGTGACGCATTGAGGGCTTCACCCTCTTGGCTGACAAGAAAGCTGCTGATACCTTTATAACTGGAAACGCAAACAAACGCCTTTTCCCATAGAGTCTCCAGAGAGCAACACAGCCCAGCTGACACCTTGATTGTAGATGTGAGATTTCTAATCTATTTACTGAACATAATAAACACGTGTTGGTTTAAGTCATTGTATTTGTGTTAATTTGTTATGGTGGCAAGAGAAAGCAAATCTCTTGTTGAGATGTATACATTAAATATGTATAGCTTTTATATGTCAACCATATCTCCATAAAGTGGCTTAAAAAGACCAAAACAGAAATACGGCCTGTTAATCAGAATGATCTAGAATGATCCTGAGGAAAAGGACAGAAAACAAAATATGGTACAATGTGACACAATTCTTATCTATTCATAACCTTACTGAATCCAGGCAGTTTAAACCCTTTATAAAACAACCAGTGACTGAAGATCTACCGCTGTTGGAGTGAGGTTTCCTGGAAGTCTTCTACAGCTGTTAGCCACACTTCTTTTAGGCCTGCTGGATTTGGTTTTCTAATAAACAAATAGTTTGGAAAATGAAAGAGATTATGGGGCAAATGGTGGAAAATGGGCATGAACAGAGACAAGATTCAAAGTAGAAACCTCTAAAAGAGAATAGGGTGCCAGGCACAGTGGCTCACACCTGTAATTTCAGCAATTTGGGAGGCCAAGGTCAGCGGACCACCTGAGGTCAGGAGTTCGAGACCAGCCTGAGCAATATGGTGAAACACCACCTCTACTAAAAATACCAAAAAAAAAAAAAAAAAATTAGCCAGACATGGTGGCAGACTCCTGTAATCGCAGCTACTCGGGAAGATGAGGGAGGAGAATTGTTTGAACCTGAGAGGCAGAGGTTGCAGTGACCCGGAGATTGCACTGTTGCACTCTAGCCTGGGTGACTGAGAGACTGTCTCAAAAAAAAAAAAAAAAAAAAAATGAGGAACGGGGAAATAATGGTAGTGATCAACCAATGTCTTCCCGCATTAATTCAGAGCGCACTGACCATTTTCTCTCCTGATGTCCAGAAACACAGGACACACGCCTGGTGAAATCAAACGGAGCTTGCCAGGTCAGGGATATTGGTGCTTAAAAAACAAGGGGGTTGAGAAGTGAGAAAAAGAGTAAAAGAGTAACAGGCTGAGAAAGGGTCTTCTTAAGGGAATTTTGACATGCCCTATTTCTGGAGCATCTCAATCTAGGTCAGGAAACCCACAAAGCCATTCAGTGGGAATGTTGGACAGCTCCTTTAGAGATGGCAAAAGGAACTGGTTGTTCCCACTTTTTTCCCCTAAGAATACCAAATTAAGCAATTTAAAGCAATGCCAAATTCATTTCCTTCAGAGGATTCAACTGGGTTTTGCTTCTGCTAAGAGTTAAAATAAATGGAGGACTCATGGGATCCTTACAGTTACGACGACCTCCTTTGAGCTTAAATAGAACAGGCCAGTCTGTTTCATTTTCTCCAAATAATTGTACCATACATTTTAGGATTCTATTTATAACATACTCCTACTCATTCTTTCATGTAACCTCCCTCAGCCTCACTTTTCTCCGATGGGATATAAGGGCTGAACACATTGTTCTAACATTTTACAGCACTCTGTATGTATGACTCATGCATTTCGCGTATGTGACTTGAAAAATGAAGAGTCAATTTATGGGGATAATTTTCTAAAATGCATTTGGAAATGCTAATGGTTTTGGATATCGCTTTGTTTGAGTACTTCTCTTACATTAAGCCAGATTTCTTATGTCTTTAGAAAATCATCAGAGAAATGTCTGGGGGTCCCTCTGCAGTTAAGTCTCTTTAACTATGATGACTCAGAAGCCAGAAAGCATTACTGCTATTGGGAGAGGCTTTAAATGATCTCTGCCCACAGGGGGACTAAGAAATTTAATAAACCTATTACTTGGAGGAGACCAGTTTTGTGTCAATTTGGGCAGAAAGCCATATAAAAGATGTGCTTTTTCTTTTTTTTTTGCATTTTCTGGACATGCAATCCAAATGATTTGTACTGTGGTGTTTCATTATCTCTGTTTTGTCAAAATTAAATAGAACAACCTGATCAAACAGAGAGTTCCTGACATGTTATGTTTTGAATTGGCTGTTACTCACATTGTAAGTGAAATCATTTCTCTCATGAACATGTTTTGAGTTTATACAACTGTTCCAAGTCTTATTTTGGACATTAGGAAAAGCGACAATGAACTCTCATATTGCAAGAACATGAAAAACAGTTAAAAGAAGGTCTATGTGTGTGTGTATACACACATAAAATAAACACAATAATACCCAGACACAAATATATATGTACACACGCACATACACATATTTACATAGTTACCAATATTTCTAGAAATTTAATTCAAAAGTTTTGTGCACACGTATATACTATCTGGGGAAAAACAACCAACTATGAAACAAAATAAAATAAAAAAACCCATATGGTATATTTAAAACTGTACCACAGAAGAGTTTTCATTCAACAGTTCTTTAATCAAAACGACCATTTTTTTTTTTTTTTTTTTTTTTGAGATGGAGTTTCACCCTTTCACCCAGGCTGGAGTGAAATGAGATGATCTCAGCTCACTGCATCCTCTCCCCACCAGGTTCAAGCCATTCTCCTGCCTCAGACTGCTGAGTATCTGGGATTATAGGCACAAACCACCACACCTGGCTAATTTTTGTATTTTTAGTAGAGATGAGGTTTCACCATGTTGGCCAGGCTGGTCTCGAACTTCTGATCTCAGGTGATCCATCTGCTTAGGCCTCCTAAAGTGCTAGGATTACAGGCTTGAGCAACAATGCCCAGCCAAAATTACCACTTTCTACAAGTCATTTCTTCCACCCGGAGCGGCACTCATGATTGTCTCTGGCAAAGGCCTTCTCTCTCCCTGACAATGATTTTTCTCCCTCTGGCTCTCTTTTTTCTGGGAGCACTCTCTGAGGCACCATCATGCTCCACACCAGTGGCCATAAGCATCCCTCTTGGTGACATCATCCACTCCTGCGACTCTAGCCACGGCCTTTAGCTTTTTCCTTGTGCCCTCCTATAGTCAATTTTTTAAATGAAAAAATAATTTCTAGTCTCCTGAGCCCTCCCACTCACTCCAGCTTGGCTCATTCTGCTTTCCAGCCTCTTCAGGTGCACATCGCCCCCATCCCCTGCTTTCTACACCCAGAAACAGCTGACTTCATGCAGGGCGCCATGCAAAGCCCCATGTGCCCTCCTGACTCAGATCATCCCATGCGCTGTCCCTTACCTGGAGATCAGCAGAAATATCTGCCCTGCATCCCACCTACTCTGCACCTGCCTGGTCGTTTCTGGCTCTCCTTTAAATTTCAGATCATGTGTTGCAGTCTCAGGGAAGCCTGCCCTGATCTCTAAGATCAGGCAGCTCCTCCTTGGCTATGCCCTCTCCTGACACGCCAGACTTACCCTTTGCAGACATTTTCAAAATAGTAATGACTTGGTATAAGGCACATGGCTGTGCTTTGGTCAGATAGGCTGAGGTAGGATGTTTATATCCTCTGTGACTCAGCGAGTCTGTAGCACAGGCGTGTAACTCCATTTGGTATCACAGCCATGTAGCCATAACATGGGAAGCCCATGACTTGGCCCTAAGCCGCTCTTGTCTGTGGAAGGTATAATCGCCCTGCTGACGCCGTACAGGCACACTGGTGCCCAGAGAAAGAGAGAGAGCCAAAGCTGTCCGTCTGCAAAGATGGTCGGGGGGAGCCAGGCCACAGCTCGGCTTGGTTTATTCCCAGAGAGAGAAAGAGTTAAGCTGCTGACCCTGAAGGCAAGGGAGAGCCACCCACGCAGCCGTGTGTAAGGCAGCTGCCAGAGTAAGCAGCCGAGACACGGTGGACAGTGTGAGGAAGCTGCTGATGAGAGCTGCTACTGAATAAAATCAACTTTCACCTGCCTACGCCCCACAGAGTGTTCTTTCTGCTCATCCCCCAACTCTCTTCAGATCTCACCATGACATTTGGTGTAGTCTTGAACCGGACACTTGGTGATTTGTATAGTTATTTGCTTAATGTTAGTCATTTTTGCGAGATTGAAGCCTGTCCTATTCTCACGGTCTCTCTGGCACGTAACAGAGTGCTGGGCATGTGGTAGGCACTCAATGCACATTGGCTGAATAAGCCAAAGAGGTCTCTTCACCCACACTCCCAGAGCCCTAGGCCAGTCCCACATCATAAAGTAGAAATGACTATATGAAACCCTCGATGTTATGATGCCAGCTAGGGTGCTTATACTTCGGATATTTTGTCTCCTCCAAATCTCATGTTGACATATGATTGCCGGTATTGGAGGTGGGGCCCTGTGGGAGGTGTTGGTGTCATGGGGGCAGAACCCTCATGAATGAATGGCTGGTGCCTTCCCCATGGTAATGAGTAAGTTCTCACTCTTAGTTTACTCCAGAGCTGGTTGTTTAAAAGAGCCTAGCACTCCCCCCTCTCCTCTCCTTTGCTCCCCTTCTCACCCTGTGATATACCTGTGCCCACTCTACCTTCTACTGTGAATAAAAATTTCTTCAGGCCCTTACCAGAAGCCAAGCAGGTGCTAGCCCCGTTTGGTACAGCCTGTGGAATTCTGAGCCAAATAAACCTCTGTTTTAAAAATAAATTACCCAGTCTCAAGTATTCCTATATAGCACTGCAAAACACACTGACACAAGTGCCTTTGTGGCTAAACAGTGTCATAGTTGGATAAACCCTGTACCTTTGTACAGAAACTAGATAAGTGAGGAGATAAATGGTGGTAGGACAATGACCAGGGCTCCATATTCTCAGAGGACCCAGGTCCCTGCATGCACACATAATCCTGAGGACACTATTCACATGGAATGATTTCCTCCAAAGCCTTAGACCTCAGCACCCCTGACTGGAGATGCCTTATCTCCTTATCTTAATAACCTCTATGGGAATCAAAAGATCCCATAACTCACTTGCCCTAGAAACGTCCTCAATTCCCACTCCCCACATCTGTCTGTTTGTCATGAAGCTCCTCAGCAGGTGTTTGGCACACAGCCACCCCTTGTTTCAGGATTTCTGGAGGCCACAGGCTCTCAGATGTATATTTCTGGTTGCACTCAAAAAGACATGACTAGAGGCGACCAAAGCAGGGCTCAGGGAGTGCACAGCACTCTCTCACTCCAGGGACCCCTCCTCCATTTAGATTTGCACCGTACGCATTAGGTCACTAAGTCACATGTGTTCCACCTGCAAAGTACGCTTCTCGCTTCTCTTCCAGCTACACACTGCCTGTGTTCCCGTCCAAACCCTGGTGTCTCTCCTTGTGCTGTAGGGAAACTCTCCTGAGTGTACTTGTGCTCCCTGCCCCTCTCTGCTCTAAACCACATTACATAACTCTGATATGAAATACCACAAACATAATCAAACATATATAAACAACGTATGAGTGTGAGACACCTTACTGGGCCCTGAAGACATGCGTGTGAGTGAGTAGAGGCACCCACAATCTTTGAGAGCAGAGTAGCCCTGGGTGACGGATGTCACACCTGAGACATCACCAGGTGGGGAGTACAGGTTGCTGTGAGTGTCTGCAAGAGAGGATTTAAACTTCTCTTGGATGGCAGTTTCCTTGGAGATGTGATATCCACATTGTGACTTACCATGTGTCTGGCTAGACAGGGGCTGGGGAGTTCATTATCTAGAGCAGTAATCACCTGAAAATTCATGGGGAAGCTAAATCACAGCACTGCCCTTTTCTCTTTCTTTTTTTTTTTTTTTTTTTTATTTTGAGAGACATTCTCACTCTGTTGCCTAGGCTGGAGTGCAGGGGCACCATCTTGGCTCAGTGAAACCTCTGCTGCCTGGGTTCAAGGGATTCTCATGCCTCAGCCTCCCAAGTAGTTGGGATTAAGGTGACTGCCACCACACCCAGCTCATTTTCGTATTTTTAGTAGAGACAGGGTTTCACATGTTGACCAGGCTGGTCTCGAACTCCTGACCTCAGGTGATCTGCCCACTTCGGCCTCCCAAAGTTCTGGGATTACAGGCATGACCCACCATTCCTGGCTGCACTGCCCTTTTTTCTAAAAATATTTTTCATAGCTTTCAAACACCCTTAAAAAGAGGTCAACTGTCTTAGTACTGAAGACCCTTTATAATATGAATCGATTTGTTTCTAGCCTCATTTCTTATCACGCCCTTTCGTGAACCTTGTGTTCTGCCCATGTGGTGGCGATCACTCCCTCGACTGTCTGCTGTGCTCCTGCTTTCGCCCTTGATCCTGTGCAGTCAATCTATGCTAGCCCCACGGACTCACTTTTGCCTGTGTAAATCCTTCCCAAATTTCCAAGGTTTTTCAGAAGACATCCCTTCCAGAGACCTTTCTCTCCTTGTCTTTAATAGACTTAACCACTCCTACCTTTACAGCATTTGTTTCATAGGCTTCCCTGGAAGTTACTGTGTGTCTTACATTATTAATGGTTGTGTAGAGGTCTACCTCACCTCTGCACTCTGAGCCCACTGAGGGCATTGGTGCTAACTCAGACATCTTCCTCTTCTTTGTAGTATTCTGTATGCACTAAAGCCTTAACAAGTCAATTCTAAATGGTTTCTTTACTTTTATTTTTGCTCCTAATGTAAGTTATTAAGAGAAGTGAACCCTAAGATGATAAAGCATTAAGAACAGTAAGAGAATGCTGCTCTTGTCCTCTCATGCCCAGTGGCTTCCCATCAGCACTGCAGCCTTGCAGGTGGGGGCGCCCAGGGGGTGAGATCTGGCATCCTCCTTTTGTTTGCCCCAGCATAGCTCCAGAGTCCTACGGGTGGAGACAGGTCTCAGGAATCCAGTGGGGACACACCTTCACCATTGAGGAAGGAGAAAGAGGAGGATGACAGCACTTGTGAGAGATAGGGTATGAGAGTCCATCTCAAACATGACAGACTTGAGAGAAGGCTGTAAAAATGGCCTGGATGCCAGCAAATCAGGCATCAGGAATTAACCCAGAGGTCAGGCAGAGAGGATCATTTGGGAGAGGATGTGACAAAGCCCATCTTCTTAAGCTTAAGGACTACGTGCCAGGGAATTGCTCAGAACTCAAGCCTGGGAAATGGCTCAGACAGACAAGTAATTCGATAAGACAGTCGAGAGACAGTGGCCCTGATGGCATTTCTCTGTGGGTGTGTACTTTGGGCCTCCTGTCCACGGAAGGGACAGAGGAATGAGGCCAGCACAGTGGTGCGCTTTCTTCTGCCGGATGAGAGAGCTGTCATGCCCCACCTGGAAATCTCCTCACAGGCCTTTCAATGTGGGAGGACCCTCCACGGGTGACGCAGATCACACTGGTATTAAAAATCTTGGTTGCAACAAGCTAATCTGGATCCAAGTCAGTGACCTGGAAAACGAAACCTCCAAGTGCCTGTTTCTAACCCTTGGCTGTATCCAATGTCCTGGTACCTGGGTTACTACTGTCTGTGAAGACAGGCCTCTCAGGCTTGCCAACACGAAGAAACAAACAGGGAGACACCCTTTGCCTCCTATAATACTTGGACATTTGAAACAGGGAGCAGTCGGCACTGGCAATGGATATCCATATCATATTTTGACTATCAAAAAAGGCAGTGTCGCCAAACACAGAGATCTCTATAATAAATTCCACGCACAGTCGATACTCAAAGACTGATAATAAAGAAAATAATTTAAAAAAAAAACATGGTAACAATTTATTTTGGGTTCACTGACAATTTTCTCTTGATATTATTTTTAGCATACATATTCTTTAGGAATATCATTAAAAAACACATTTTTCTCCTTAATCTTGGGATAAGAACAAGTCTTATCCTAGCTCATTCCAAGAGCCTGAAATGAGTCTACCATTTTCTTTTTTCTAGCAAATTTCTTATATCACTTGATAGACTGACGCAGACCTTGTTCAGTCAGCTGGTAAGATATCCAACGAGTCCGACGGCAACAGATGCAGCACGGCTAATGCAATCATATGGGTCCCCAGGCGAAAAGACCAGCAGCCCTCAACATCTGAGATCATATGAGCTCTCATAACTCCGGAGCTCTTCAGCTGCTTTTCAGCATCACTGCCTGCCTCCTGCAGACCCACTTAAACCTCACTCAAGTACAGTAGCCGTGGGGTTCCGCTGAGGCTGCTGTGTCTCCAGCTGGTCTGTCTGTGCTGTGCTTCTTAGGTCACGCTGCCATCGTAGAAAGCAAGTTCATTCCATGCACAGGCTCTGGACTGAGGCCAAAGAGCAGCTCAGGCTCTTTTATGAAAACCAGCCGCCTTTCTCCCCGACCTGCACACTCTGCAATGGTGTGGTCATTACGAACACGGACAGTGGAGTCATACTGACCTGGGTCCAAACACAACCATGTCCTTTCCCATGTGGGTGACCTCAGGCCTTTACTCAGCCCTCCTAAACCTCAGAATTGTTCATTGTGTGAATAACGATATGTGCTACTGCAGACTGCAAGCTGCTGCTGTTCTCTCAAGCATCTTTTTCTACTTCCCCCAACCTAACTAAGGCTTAGATTATGCTCTGATCCTCACTTTATCCCATAACATCCAAAGCTGATTGCTGACCTTATCCAAATACGAGTGTGTGGATCTATCTCTCAACTATGTTTTATATCCACTTGCATATATATTCACGCAATGCATACTGTATATGATATATGGTATACAAGTAATACCTATATATTATGTATATTATACAGTGTATGTCTACATATACTTTGCGTTAAGAGAAGTGAACCTTAAGATGATAAAACATTAATGACACTCAGAGAACAGTGCTCTCATCTTCTCACGTACACGGGCTTCCACCAGCACTGCAGCCTTGCGGGTGGAAATGCCCAGTGGGTCAGATAAATAAATACGTCTATTTATTTATATATCATGGTAAAAAGTTAAAAAGTTTCCCAACTTCTTAGCTTTTTTCCACTTTACATTAATGATGTGAACATTACACGTCATGGGATGCTGAACTTTTAAATATTTCATATGTCTTTGCAGTTCCAAACTCCATGAATGCACCAGGTATACAAAACAGAATCAATCTTTGACCCCGAGTATAGACAGCTACGGTCCATATGATTTAGAGTCATATATTTAAAGACAGGCCAAAATGTGTGTCTTCAAAGATAGCAGAGAGGGGGTGGACAGTAAGGTAGGAGAACTAAAGCCCAGAAATTAAGGGAATCTTTAGGAAGAGTGGTTCCTGGCATAGACAACCATACAGTGGCCAATGGCAACAAGGCGGAGACGTATTCCCGGGCCAAGTGAATATCATGATTGAGCTAGGTGGTTGGTTCACCTTCCCACTCAGTGAATAATCCAACCTAACTGTGGAAGCTCATCTTCAATATGATTGGGAAATTCCAAACACCCAGCCTTTAAGGAGTAACATTCCTTTAGATCAATCCATGTTTATAAATGTTTTAAATTGATTACTGTAACCAGAAAATATATTTCCAACATATTTTTTTCTGAAAATTTCTAGTTTATGCCATAAACAAGAATATAAAATAGCATGAGACAATTTATAAGAAAGTCCAAATGGCTCAGACACTGCTAAACAGAAACAAGAGTACTTTAAGTTCAACACAGAGTGTAACATTAAATAGAAGCAGGAATTGACCATATTTTATTTTCACTTGCTCCAGAAGCTCAGAACTTTTAAGTGTTGTGTTATTGCTCCTTTCCAGCCAGTCTAGCAAAGTTATGTAATTTCTTTATTAACACGCAAACCAAACGGATGTATCCCACATTATTGACACACTCTCAGAAATCGTAAGGCTTGTCCTAAGTTTTGCTGGTAACTTGCTAATCCATTACTTCCTTGGTGGATAGTCTAAAAGAAAAAATGCACAGGCTCTAGGAAATGTCCATCCTAGAGCACCACTTCTTTGAAGGAGGGTCTACTTAGCACTCACTGCTTTTCAAGAATCTGCTGTGTTCCGATGGAAGGTGAATGGAACAGGAAAGGCCTGGCGGATTCCCGCACAGCAGGCCCACAGCACACCTGGGGAGGGCGTTAGTTGCTTTTGGACAGGCAGGTGTGTTTGGTTAGAAAGTCAGTCAGGAAAAGTCAGAGTTGAGCAAACTAATTAAAGAGATGACTTTTCCTTATTAGTTACTATACAGTTAAATTGATTAAAAGATGAAAACTTACAATTTCCCCTTGCCATGATTTTACAAGCTTTTAATGTTCACAGACATGTTGGTGACACCTACAACACTCGAAGGCAATTTGATCATCACCATGATTCTTCCATATATATCAGTAACAAACTATAGCTAAATAGTGGTCTTTAGTTAAAATCATTTTGAGAAAAATTGCAAATATGTTAAAAGAAAGTTGTACCAAATTAGATAACAATATCCATTAAATACTATGTTAAAAAGCATTCAATGACACAAAAGAATATGTCAGATACATCCAATTCCAGTGTAAAGTGACAGGCTGAACTCATTGTTTTTCTTCCACAGTTGTTGAGAAAATAGAGGATAAAAAAATAAGAAAAAATATAATATCATTAAAATTAGTGACAAAAATACACCTAGTTTTCTATGTGCTTTCCTTTACAGATATGTACACGCAGATATAAAAGTGAAGTATCTATTTATACATCATTTAAAATCCACTTTTTTCCATTAAGAGAATGTTATAGCTCTTTGTATATCTATATATATATGATGTGTGAATTCTGTGAACTATTCCATTGAGTGAACATACCATTACTTATTTAACCAATGTCCTGCTATGGCAATTTGGTATTATTTCTCACAGTCTCATAAGTTTTATAGCACATCACCTTACGATGCATGTGTGTTGAATCAGCACTTTTATTTCACAGGATGGACTCCTAGAAGAAAAACGTATGTGTCAGAAGGGATGTAGCTCTTCAGGACTTTTGAGAAATGCCTATTGCAATATTGCTCTTTACAAAAAATAGGCTTTGGGAAGAAGCCTTTGAAAGGCACTCTGTGAATTCATACAGTGACCTGCCTTTTTCTTCCTTTTTTTAGATCCGGCCAATTTTCTACCTTTGCTGTGATTCCTGATCAGGGAAGGCTTGCGTCTCTATTTCCAGATTACTCCCTTCTTTCCATCAGAGCGATTGGCACAGCTGTCTCCAGCAGGAGACTAAAGGCTACCTGCAGCCCTGGCCTATGCCACACTCATACAGGTCCCTCTCCCATGATTTTGAAACATTTCTACACATGGCTTCTTTCCTTGGTGCAAGAAAATACTAGGCAACTGGGCACAGTGTCTCATGCCTGTAATCCCAACACTTTGGGAGGCCGAGGGCGGGGGTGGATCACAAGATCAGGAGTTCAAGACCAGCCTGTCCTATGTGGTGAAACCCCGTCTCTACTAAAAATACAAAAATTAGCCAGGCACGGTGGTGCGTGCCTGTAATTCCAGCTACTCGAGAGGCTGAGGCAGAAGATTCTCTTGAACCCAAGAGGCAGAGATTGCAGTGAGCCAAGATCACACCACTGCACCCCAGCCTGGGCAACAAAGTGAGACTCCATCTCAAAAAATAAATAAATAAAAAGTAAAGAAAGAACATAATAGGAACATTAAGAGGCCTGTCGCACATGCAGAACGGCCATAAATGAAGGGAAGAAGGGTCTGAAAGGAAAATTGTTTTTAGTGCTTTTTCCCATCATGACTGACTGTCGCCCCAACACCTTGTGATCTAATTTCATGTCACTGTAACCATGATGGTAGCTCTCTTTCCCTTCCATTGCCTACTCCATTCCCCGCCAAACCCATACTTAATTGCAGTTTTTCTTTATACTCTCTCAACCATTATATATTTAGCAGCTGACCTAAGAAAAGATAAAGGAGGAAAAACAAATGGTCCTGTAGCTCATATTTTTTAGTCTCATAGCATTTTGCAGGATTAAATTAATCATTTTCAGATAGCTTGGTGAATCTCCGAATTCAATAGGAGGTAAGCAGAAATTGCCCAGTGCATGTTAATTTGGACAGTTTCTCTCTCTCTCTCTCTGTCAGTGTGTCTGTGTGTGTGTCTGCGTGCGTGTGTGTGTTTCATTTGCATGTCTGTGGTGGACAATAGTCTTGGGGGTATTGTATTCTCAGGATCTTGAAAAACTGTATCCAAATTGTGAACAAAAAATAAAACATTTCAACACACTGGAATTATGACTTGGTGCACTTTGGGGAAAAACGATGACTACTCTTTTTGGGGCCAGCTACTTTGGGGTTTTGAAATCGTGTTTGGCTCCGTGAGCCACTCTTGCTTTGAGGTTAGGTCCAGAGGCTGCACCTGCTGGTGCTTCTGGAAGCCTTGCTTACTCTCAGGGATAACAGACAAAGAAGAACGCTTAGAAATTCAGACGGCATTGCTTCACACTCTGCAAAAAGAGTTTACAAAGGAGAGATTTCATTCAAAATGCTTTTTGCAGATGATAGCAAGTTCTTCTCTCAGTTGCTGGTGGGGGGGCAAGCAGGGCCAGGCCAATTCTCAAGCTCTCGAACACACAACAGTTTGGAGCTTCTGCTCATTTGGGTGACTGGATAGCATCACCATTGCAGAAACACAGCCCTAGAGACCTGGAGAGCCTCAGGGGCAGGGAGTCAGGCAGCATCAAGTTGGAGAAAGGTGACAGAAGCCAGTGCTGAATCACCCCCAGGAAGCAAAACACAGGAGGAAGAGAACGGAGAGGCCCCTAAAGACCTCGAGGTAAAAGCAGACAAAACGCAAGATTCAATGACATTGACTGTGTGTGTTCAAATGACAGCATCATGCTCTCTCCATTGCAGGAAAGAACTCTGGGAACCCTTTACTATGAGGCAGAATGATCCGTTCAATACATTCTCACTCCTTGTCCTTGCTTTGCCCACTTTTGAATCTGCCACAGTCCTGATCTGACCCAGATATGAGCAGGAGAAAAATAGCCCACAGGCAACTCAACAAGCCGTGTAATGTCTACTGGCATTCAGCAATTACAGCATTTATCCAATTCTGGGCTGGTGAGAATCCATACCCTCCTTTGAAATGGATCTAAAGAGGAGCTTCTAGTGCGAGCATCTGAGTCTGCCATTATGCTACCAATCCAGGCGGTTGATATTAGGGTGATTTTGTGTGAGTGCTCTAAACTGTAAATGAACACCTCCTTTTCTCCTTGAATTCTCAGAAAGGGCAACATATATATATATATATATATATACACACACACACACACACACACACACATATAATACACACACATATTTATATATAGATATATACATATATTTAGACATACATATGTACATATATTTAGACATACATATGTACATATATTTAGACATACATATGTACATATATTTAGACATACATATATACATATATTTATATATACATATATACATATATTCATATATTTATATATACACATATATACATATATTTATATATACACATATATACATACATTTATATATACACATATATATACATATATACACATATATATACATATATACACATATATACATATATACACATATATACATATATACACATATATACATATATACACATATATACATATATACATATATATACATATATACACATATATTTATATACATATATACACATATATTTATATACATATATACACATATATTTATATACATATATACATATATACATACATTTATATATACATATATACATATATATACAAATATATACACACACACATATATATATATACACACACATATCAAACATACCTTCATTCAGCAAATATTGAACGAATGTCTGGTCTATAAAGCACCATGACAGCCAACTGGAAGTCTGTGTTTAAGCCATCTTACAGCACCTCCCAACCCCCTCCTCTGCACCACATCCTTAGTGCATTCAGGGTGACAATGAAAATATCACAGATGAGGGCTGATAAAAGACATGTTTATGGCTCACAG
Source organism: Homo sapiens (assembly GCF_000001405.40). Lineage (NCBI taxonomy): Eukaryota > Metazoa > Chordata > Mammalia > Primates > Hominidae > Homo > Homo sapiens. The sequence goes on from NC_000008.11 coordinate 3,772,933, forward strand.
TTCTGGGGTCTGGAGGTTCACTATCAAGGTGCCAGTGGATCCCACTTCTGGGAAGGACTGGATTCCTGATTCAGAGGCAGGACCTCCTCCCTGTACCTTCCCATGACAGAAGGGAAGAAGGGAGCTCTCTGGGGCCTCTTCTATAAGGACACTAATCACACTCACGAGGGCTCTGTCCTCACAACCTCATCTCTTCGCCAAGTCTCCACCTTCTAATAGCATTAGGATTTCAACATGAACTCTAGGGGGACACTGACATTTAGACGATGGCATGTACTCACATAATCTGTCACCAAAGTGTGAAACTAGCTTGTGTTTTAGATTCTCCATGCATAATTTGGGGATATAATAGGTTTGGGGAGAGCTGGTAGGATGGGGTCTTGCCCTGTCACCCAGGCTGGAGTGCAGTGGTGCACTCTCAGCTCACTGTAGCCTCGACTACAGTGAAGGCTCAAGTGGTTCTCCCACCTCAGCCTCCAGAGTAGCTGGGACGACAGTCATGCACCACTATGCCTGGCTAATTATTGTATTTTTTGTAGAGATTGGGTCTCACCGTGTTTCCCAGGCTGGTCTTGAACTCCTGGACTCAAGTGATCCTCCCACCTTGGCCTCCCAAACTGCTGAAATTACAGGCATGAGCCACCACACCCGTCCTATAATAGGTATTTAGTGAAGACAAAGTAAGTCCAGTGTAAACTATTTGGCAGTTTTATTCAATTTTGGCCTTATTCTCTATTTGCTGACTTACAGCAACAGCATCTTAATTGAGTTCCCACCTTCAAATTGATGATGAGGAGGGCAAGCATGATGGGCGGTGACACTAACCCAGAATAAATATCCAGAATAAATATCATTCAAGTGGCAGGCCCATCTACATGCTTCAACAAGTCGTTTTCACTCACTTTCCCCCACATTGTATTTATTTTGATCATTACTATGTTGCTGAGGAAAATGCAAACCAATAAACAAACTGGGGACCTGTGAGGTTGAGTAATTTGCATGACATTGCACAGCTAACAGGAGCCTGTGCCTGGATTAACCCTGCATCTATTTGCTCTTAATTCTTTTACTTACACAGTTGCTGCGCTATCCTACCTATCTTTCATTCTTGGGCTTTTGCTATTTTCCTAAAATACAGGCTGAGTCATGCAGCTTCTTGTCTAAATATGTCCGCAACCCATTCCCTCTTAGGTTTGAGCATAAATTTACGCTGCACAAAGTGTTATCTAAAGCCTTTTGTGACCTGCACCGCCTGACCCTTCAACCTTATAATTTTCTCTTATCCAACAACTTTTGGCTCAAATGCCACTTGCTCTGTAAATTCTTACAGATTGCTGCAATCAGAATTGAATTCCAATGTGTTCCCAGAGCATCTGGGTTTCAGTAGAGTACACAGTGCCTGAGGTGTTATCATATGGCGGTTGTTTGGATGTCTGTCATCTCCCCGGGATGCAAAACACAAGTTTTTCAAAGATGCCGTCAGCCTGCTTTCCACCATGATATCTCCATGCTGCCTAATGTGTGCTTTGTTGCCTGGCTCATAGGACAGAGAGACGGTTAAATAAATAAATAGAAAGATGCTGAATACATGAATTGGTATTAATCTTTCATTCCCCTCCTTAGTGGACAGAACGTCATGTCTTCCTGCTTTTCTCTGTTAATCTTCAGTTGGGAACCTGTTTCAAATTCTCACTATCTTTGTTGAACTGTGGACAACCTAGCTGGAGACCAGTGAAAAAATCAGTTTGACTAATGCTAAGTGCAAAGGAATAACTTCACGATTTCTGCTCTCAAATTTTGGTGAAAGGATTTCTATTTACTATTCTAATGAGTACAATATGGATGACACAGTGTCCGTTTTTAAGCCATGACTGTGCTGCCCCGTCATTCTCAAGGGATACATTCCAAGACTACCAGTGGATGCCTGAAACCACACAGAGTGCTGAGCCCATATGTACACAATGTCTTTTCAATATGGTAACCAAGAAGGCTACTGACTGACCAGCGAGACGGGAAACAGGTAGCATATACACAGCAATGCACTGGACACAGGGGCGATTCCCACTCCCGGCAGGACCAAGCAGGATACAGGAGATTTCATCATGTTACTCAGAATAGCATACAATTTAAAACTTACGAATTGTTTGTTTCTGGAATTTTCTATTTAATGTTTTTAGACTGCTGTTGACCGTAGGTAACTGAAACTGCAGATAAGGAGGAACTACTGTATTTCTTTATTTATACCAAACTTAAGTCCAAAAAAGAATTTTGAAAGGTTTAGATAAAACTTTGCAAAACAAGTTAGAAATGAATTGTATGTTAAACATTGGAAGATTTAAAGACAGTGAAAAATAAGTGAACAGAAGATGAATCCAGGAGTGAAGTTATGCAGGCAATGTATCCTACGCCTTCACCTCTGAACCATCTAGCAGACACAGCATAGCAGGTAACAGGCCCAGGTACCTGACTCAAATTACACAGCAATTAAAAACAAGTACTTTGGGGAGGGGGCAAAAACAATCATTTATCAATGATACTCATGAAAAGGACACGGGGTGAAGTTATGAATAACATTTCCAATAGGATCCTAATATTAAAAGCAGGGAGAACTTTTACAAGAGCGCAACTTCAAATGATCTCCAGTGTGGACTCATGTGCTCTTGTCAGTAAAGTTCGTAAATTGTTGGGACTCATGTGCTCCTGTTCAGTAAAAGTCATAGATTGTCGGGGAGAGAGCCCAACACAGTCACTGAAATAAGTTCTAGTTCCTAAATGATGCACGCAAACACACAGTTCAAATGATATGAACTATAAACTTGTTTTACTGCCTTAATCTACAAAAGGTCCACGAAGCATTGCTGGGTGCTGATGTCATCATGGGGTCCATTGCTTTCCGCCAACGCGCAGGGTTGTTACTGACCTAGGATGGGTCCTGAGACCTCTCTCCCTTGCGCCACATGTGGCTTCTCAATGAGCTCCTCCAGTCTCATGGATGTGAATGCCACCTATATGCTGATGATGCCAAATTCATGTCATCAGCCCAGGCTTCCTCCTCAGAGCTTCAGACCCTGATCCAAATTTCCCCTTGACTCTCTATTCCATGTGCTGGAGCCACCTCAGAACCCATACACCTACCTTGTCCATACAAATCTACTCTTTCCCCATCCTCCCCCATCCTTCCTTCCTTCTTCTTACCTGCACACACTCTGCTCATCTGCACATCATACGGATCCTACCTTCAGAACAGATCCATGTCTGACCATCTCAGCACCGGAGGGTGCCCTGTGCTCATCCGGATGGAGGTCACAGCCTCCCTGCTTCTATCCTCCCTGCTCCATTCTATTCTCAGAACACTGTCCAGAGGGGTCACATACAACCCAAATTAGATCACATTGCACCTTGAAGCGACACTCTCCAGGGGTCACCTGTCTCACTGAGAGTAAAGCCAGACTCTAAAGAGGCGCTGCAAGGGCTGACACCTTCTCACTCCTGTCCTTCTCTAATCTCCTGTCTGGCCACATTCTACTCACACACCTAGCTGTGGCCACACACACATTTCCTGCTCTCTCTTAAACACCCTGGGGCCTTGGAACTTGCTGTGCCCTCTGCATAGAATGCCAGATATTCTCAAAGGTGACTCACCTTCTTCCTACGGGACTTTTGTTAAATCTCATTGACATTGTAGACTCCATATCCAGCCATCACCACCTCCTTCTTTCCCTCCTTCCCACCAAGGCACTTGCCATTACCTGATTTCATACAGATGGCTACCTGGAGAGATGATAGATACATTAGGTAGATGACAGATAAAGATAGGCAGAAAAAAGATACAGAGATGATAGATGAGCAGTGATAGATAGTGACATATAGACGAGATATATATATATATATACAGATGACAGATCATACATAGAATGACAGATACAGACAAAGATAGCTGATAGATATAACTTTGTATTTTTTGCAGAGACGGGGTCTCACCATGTTGCCCAGCCTGGTCTCAACTCTTGATCTCAAGTGATTCTCCTACCTGGGCCTCCCATAGTGCTGGGATTACATGCATGACCCCCCACATCTGACCTTAAATGCTGGAGGATTTAAAGACAATGGAAATCTGTCTATATCTGTTTACATCTATCATGCTTCCTACTATCTATCTATCATCTGTCTATATTAGCTATCTATACCTACACACACACACACACACACACACACACACACACACACATCATATATATATGTATGTGTGTCTGTTACTTGTTATATTATGTTTAAAATCTGCCTTCTCCTATAGAACATGAGCTCCTTAAGGGCAGGGGTTTGTCTGCTTGATTTCTGCTTGGTGCACAGTCCACAGTCAGTAAATATTTGTTGGACAAATGACTGATAATCCTACTCACACAGTGCTCCAGACAGCAGTGCCTCCAGATGAGCTAACTGCTGCAGGATACTTGCATGGCCCCCTCCACTGCTCTTGCACCTGGGGCATCCTGTCAGGCCTCAGGCAGGCTTCAAAGGGAGCAGTGCTCATTCTGGTGTCCTGCTACTCTAAGAGATGATGGGCTGAGGATGCTCTGAGCACCATAAAATCCTACAGGACGGAGGGCTTTCTCCTCCAGGCTCCCTCTAGTCCACAGGAGACAAGCTGCCATACGGAAGCAGTCTCAGAATGAGATGCCTCCCCCACCAGCATCCCAACCAGCAACAAGAACTCCTCCAAGGAGCCTCCTTGAAGTGCAGAGTCTCAGGACCCACGCCAGACCTGCGGCCTCCTTCAGATGCAGAGTCTCAGGCCACACTCCAGACCTGCAGCCTCCTTGAAGTGCAGAGTCTCAGTTCCCACTCCAGACCCACAGCCTCCTTGAAGCGCAGAGTCTCAGTTCCCACTCCAGACCCGCAGCCTCCTTGAAGTGCAGAGTCTCAGTTCCCACTCCAGACCCGCAGTCTCCTTGAAGCGCAGAGTCTCAGTTCCCACTCCAGACCCGCAGCCTCCTTGAAGGGCAGAGTCTCAGTTCCCACTCCAGACCTGCAGCCTCCTTGAAGTGCAGAGTCTCAGTACCCACTCCAGACCTGCAGCCTAAGAAACTCTGGCTGTCTGGCTGTCTGTGCTTAACAGGCTGTCCACGTCCCTCCAGGGGAAACTGGAGTTTGAGAGCTGCTGGCCCAGAGCATTATCTTGAGAAAGACTTTGAGACTCAGTTTGGAGTCAGTGGAAAAATGTGTCAGGATAGATTAGAGGCGTCAGCAGGGGGCAGGGACGGGATCCTGGCCGTTTGTCCTTTAGAGGTCTGTGGAACTGACTATTTTCTGCTCTGACATTTGCTATCACATTCTATTTGCCTGTCAGTAGTTTACCATTTAAAAGGGTATCTTTCTCCTGTTACATTTTCCCCAATTAGGGAAACCTGTGTAATCACCAGCTGTCTGGAATCATTTCGGTAAGAAGACCGGGGGCAGAAACAAATAAATAAAAAGATTCAACACTTAAATGATCTCTTTCCACTTCCAGCCATCCCAAGGTGCCCTCGCCTTACAAGGGTTCCTGTCTTACGGTAGTCCCATTGCCCCCATCCCTACCTTCTACAAGAACGCTGCCCGTGTGCCTGTGCACGCTCTTGCCTGGGGTTTATTTTCTGAGATTCTCTAGCAGAAAAGAGCATCAGTGCCCTCTCCTGTCTCTGTTCTGCACCTCTCCTTCCTGCCTCCAACCTTTCTCCAGGTTGTTTCTGGACCAGAGCTTCCTGCAGTTTCAGAGCTGGCCAAAGATCATCTTCCGAGCACCGCTTCCTTTCTGCAGGGCCTTTGGAAATCAGGTTACAAATAATTGCTTGTGATTGGGTATCATGGAGCCTTGTTTCATGCTCCGAACACTTTTCTCCTGACTGCTGTACAAGTTTATTATTCCTCATTGAATACTCAGTTGAGAAAACATGCTGCTTGCAGGCATTTGGACAAAAAGTAGGACAGGAGTTCCCGGATCAACAACAATCTCTCAAAAATGCTGTTTCTGGGAGGACAATCAGCCTTGGCTTGTGTTCTTTTCATTTGCAGCACTTTTTCTAGGCTCAGATCAGCTCAGAGACACCAGAATATTTGCATGATCAACGTTTTCATAACAAATTACCATTCCTGTTCTCCTCTAAATGGAATGTAGGTTAAAAGACTCCTAATGTCTATTTTTCAGATAAATAAAATATTTTCACTATGCGTGCATACTTGTGTGTGTGTGTGTGTGTGTGTGTGTGTGTGTGTATGTGCAGTATTTGAGAGGGTGAATAAGACAGAACTCACTGTATGCCTTCTAGAAGGTGAGGACTAGCAAGGGTATTATCTGTTTGCTTGAGCTTTTATGAAACTAGGCTTGAACTTTTCTATTGATTTTTAGAGATTTCATAATTTTAAAGTAGTACTGTAGCTACAAATTGTAATGACCCAAGATGAAGAAGGGGCTTCAGAAACCCTGTAATCGATGAGCACTACGTAGGAGCATCAAGAAAGATCGTTTAAGTTGTCATTTTAAAATTTTAGACATCTTAAAACAATCCTTTTATAGTATTCACTGATTTCATCAAATATGTGATGGAAAATTACTCTGCTAAATGAGCCATGCAAATTAGCAGTGAATTATGCTCAAATATCCAAAAGCAATTATGCTGCTGAATAACCGGGTATTTTAATAAAATATGGATAATGACAGCGTTAATATTTTAGGTTACATTTATGCAATGATATGACATTTAAAATATAGAAAACCAGATACAACACTATCTAGCGCATATTTTATATCTGCAGAACATAAAATTATATTTAAGTTATTTGAAAGAGATCCCAGGTCCTCATGCTCCTTCCAGAAGATTAACATCCAGAAATATTGAGCTGAGACATATTTAATAGGGACAGGAAAAATAGTTGTTTAAGGTGTTCTTGAATATTTTGAAAATTTAGTTTCATTTATTTTTTTCTCTCATGGCCTGTCTCCCAGATCCACTGCTTGTCTTAACCTTTAAATTGCTGAAAACTAAGAAAGCTTAAATCAACCAAAAGAATGTGAACTTCCAAGCTCCTTTTCCTAAATACAAACATGTTCCTGGTATTCACACTCTACTTCTACTTTTGTGAGAAACATTCTTTAAAATTCTTTAAAATCCTTTTACTGTACCAGTCGGTGTTGCATTAGAAGGCTTGCGCTGATATAAACCTGTGCCATCGGGGTGAAACATAGTATGCACAAATCCAATATGACAGGTTAAAAGTTAAAAGCATCCTTTATCTCCCTCTGTAAGTACACTGGCATTAATCAAATCAGCATTGTCTGGTTCTTCCATGCTCAGAAATACTACAGAAGAGGCTGAGCAATTAGTTCGTATTCCGCAAATGAGTCAACTGAAATAACAGTTGTTCGTTAGAATAGAATTTGGAAGCATTGCAAACAATCAAGAGGCGGCCTGGTCCTTAATTATCGCCTTTTCAGCACACATTATCAACACTGCTGACTCACTAGTAAGAGTGGATTTCACAACTTTAATGGTTCAAAATTACATCCTGAATCGAGTATCAGTAACCATTCCATCAAGTCAATTTTTGTGGTACTACTGAATTGGATGGGTAATGAGCTTCAACAAACTACTATTTTCAAATTCACAAATACTAAAGTGCATCTAATAATTCACTACAACTGTCATCAAACTGGGCCTGCTCCCAGCTCCTGGGGTTGTAATCAAGCCCCTCACCTGTGCAAACCGCTTCAGTTGTCGGCAGAAAGAGCCCAGCCTGGTGAGAAATGCACAGATGCTTTCCACATAAAGCCCATTTAATCTCTTGGGTGACATTCTTATACACAGATTCATCTAAAAGAAAGTAATTCAATCAGCTGGCCCTAGTGCTTTGCCATAGAACAATTTCCTCAATAATTTTCTCTGCTTATTGGATATTTTGAGATTTGCAGAGTGTGGAAGGGGTTTAGGTAACACTGGAGAATTTAGGTAAGACCATGGCTTTCTAAATGTAAAAATAAAGCTCTAAAGATATCTGTCTTCATGATCTGAAAATATCTGTGACATTTTGTGTGACTCCTTGGAATAAAGTATTTCGTAGGGGAAACTGAAATCTAAGCAAAGTAAAGCAGCAAATAGTTGAAAGCCTGTTATGATCATGGCACTGCAAACTGTTTCAAGAAGCCAAAAACACCTTCAGCTTTGGAGTTCATGATCAAGGTTGTCCAAACAAGACAAAGATTGGTGATTATTTAACTCACAGTACAAAGTGATAATTGGAGCAAAATTTAAAAAATTGCACCTGTTCAATTTTGTGAATCAGAATGTGCACTACCACAGAGTACATGCCGAGAGAATATGGTATGAATATACAATATTCATACATGTCTTTGTTCTTTTCATTCTTTACTCATTGAACACGGAGTCTAGGGTCAGGTCAAGCGCATTCTATAGAGTTAATGCAAGCTTGTGCTGTGAGGCCAGGTGGACTGGGAGCAGCACAGTCTGGGGGGTTTCCTCTCAGAGAATACGGGTTAAGGGAGCTGCTGATAGTTGCACCACGTGGTGCCCCTGAGTTAGGTGTGCGATTGTGGACATGGATATATGGTCTATCTGCTTACACACTGCTACTCGCTTTTGAAAAGAACTCTCCAATTATCAGTGTACTCTGTCCCACAGTCTCACATACCATCAAGAAACCCTATAGTTGATGATTGTCCCTGTGATGTGAATGGCAGGTGCCTAGGTTTCCATCCTGGACTCCAGCCTACGGAGGTTCTAGGGTGTCCCCATGTGAGGGGGCCAATATTGCCCCTGACAATCTGATAGAGACAACAGAGGGCTTAGAAATGCTGAATAAATGTTTCCTTTTAAAAAAGTTATGACTTTTTATGATTTTGCTCTCTATACTTCCTAGATTCATTTGTTCAATGGCATTTTCCCGCTATTTTTTTTCACTTAAATTCATTTTCTAATTTTGGTAGACCCATTTAATAAGAACTATAATCTCACATGCCAACTCCATTAAAAAAGGAGTATGTGGTAAGAGAAGGGATGATGATACTGAAAGACATTTTGATTTTTTAAGGGATAATTTAAGAGTATCTCTCTATTATTATTCTGTCCACTTAATACTTGGAAGGAGAGTTTGATAAAATAAACAATAAAATTTGAGAGCCATGAAGAATGTAGGGGTCATATAATTTCTTTTTTTCTCATTTAAAAGAGAAAACAAACGAAGTCAAAGAAGTTCATGTCACATGAAAAGCAAATTCACGGTGCGGCATAGGACAGAATCTATGTCAGTCACCAGGATGTTAGTTTTGTGCTTGCTTTGTTTAATGATACTCATTGACTTGCTTATATATTTCCATGCTAACCATACTTGTATGATACTGTGGCCCTATAGGAAAATGTTCAAAAAGGGAACTCCGGCAAGTCAATCTTTAACCTGAATAATCACGATAAACTAAAAAATAGACTATAAATAGGCTGTTCAACAACCCTGAATTCAGGACAGCAGTAATGACGCATAACATGTATAGATAATCTAATAAAATCAAGTGCTTTTTAAAAAGGAGGCTGGGGGAGGGATAGCATGAGGAGAAATACCTAAGGTAAATGATGAGTTGATGGGCGCAGCAAACCAACATGGCACATGTAATCCTATGTAACAAACCTGCACGTTGTGCACATGTACCCTAGAACTTAAAGTGTAATTTAAAAAATGCTATATATTCTCAGAGTCAACAATGTTTGAGAACAAGCTAATAGTTTTTGGCTAGGTTCAAGGAGCTGGGTGTTGGTGATACTGAATTATAAGAACAGTATGAATAGAGATCTAAATAAACTTTAGGAATTAAAGATAACAAATGATTTTATAAGAGGTTTTTCTAGCATGAACACTTATGGAGCGACTTTCTTGCCCTAGCTCGCCTGGGAATACTATACCGTGAGCCATTACCAAAAAATAAATAAATAAATAAAACTGTGGTTAAAAATACATGGCAAGAGATCTAGCCTCTAAACCAAATTGTAGGTACAGGATTGTTAGCTATAAGCAAAATTAAGCACAACGTCCTATAGCACATCGCAAGCACGCGTTCATCTTCTGTACTGACACTTCCTACTGTTGAAAGCAAGTCCCCATCTCCCCATCCCGTAACCCCCAGCCTCCACCATCCTCCCTTCTCGGGATTTATCCAGAAGGAGATTATTTTTGACAACTTAAGTCTCAACATCTTTCCACCTGTTCTATTTGTTCAATCACCATTCTTTCTTGTTCCTGGATAGCAGTGCATGGTCAGGCCGATACTGTGTAGGTGCTCCCGGAAAAACTGGTTTTTTGCAAAACTCACCATTAGAAATACTGGGATGGATGGGAAACACAGTGCAGATGGCAGGTTTTTCAAGTCCGTACAACTCTGTGAGCAAAGCACCAGGAAGCAGTCACATGCCCCTGGGGTGACCCACGGCTGGCACAGTCAGGCGGCCCTGGGCGGCCCTATGCTGATGGCAGGTCGGGAGCACAGAAGCATTGGCGGGCTGTGAGGCGGCCCTGCAGTGCTGAGGAGGGGAAAGGACCTGAATCCTGTGCTGAGGGTGCTGCCCCTAAGGTGGGCACAGGAGGAAGCACCACCTGGCACAGGTGAGAGAGTTGGACACAGTAGCAAAGGCCTGAGAGGAAGCCCTGGATGCAGCTGGTTCTTCTGCATGTCCATAAAACATGGTTGAAGCACCCTGCTGCTGGTTCAGCAGTCAAACGGAGGCTCCCCTCCCCTTTGCTCCTGAAAGGTCTCATTCTTACTCCTGCTATTCAGATCCCCCTTTGCATATAAGGGGAAAAGAAAGTCGCATAGGAGACACTGAGGCTTCCATATTGTAGGACAGCATTTTCCCACTTACCAATTAATATTGATGGATGACTGTTTTCACCTCAGGAGCACATGAACTAGACTCGGCCATGGTTGTGGTGCAGGCTGGAGCTGGGCTGCAGTTTGAATACCCCAGCTCTGCGATTTACCTATTACCTGCCCTTGGGCAAATTACTTCCTCTTCTGGTGCCTGACCTTTCTTATTTGCAAAATGTTTATCATCGTACAACATGCCTGACAGCACTGTTGTGAAGATTGAAATAGTAAATTCATTTAAAATGCTTCGGAAAACATTAGTGTGTTTGGACAATAATAATTACAAATTCTTTTTCCTCTCTCTTTCTCTCTCTCATGCATACATATAGTAGACATGTAAGTGTCACACCTTGGGAAAGGGGTGGGTACCCAATAAATAACAAATTATTTTTTAAAAGGATGTGTAAATAAATGTCCAACACAGGACCTTGCTAGATTACTAAATTTCTCAGATAAATAATATTAAATATATACTTTCTAATATCTCACTTCTAAAATTAAAAGTTGTTCTATTGAAAAAATGGAGAAAACAATGAGAAATCACACGATTCTTCAGCCCAGAAATAACTGCTGTTAGTATTATGCTGTTTGGCCTTTCAGTTTCTTAAAGAGATATATAAGTTCCTGATTTTAAGGTGAACTTCTAGGGATGGGCACTTATTTTTGGACTTGCTAGAATCCTCAATTTCTAACACACCAACTGGTCCCTCATGGTCATAAAATGAATATTTAAATTTCTAATTTATTAAGATGCTTCAATATATGCTTTAGCAAAGAACAGAAAAATGAATAAATCAATAAATAGAAATCTGTTTGGTTTGGAAATAAGGGATATTGTCAGCAAATTTTCAAATATTCCTGGAAATATGCTATTATTCTATAAACAAATGGTGGCAGACACCAATGCATGACTAAGTAAAATAAGATACAATTAGCAATTCCACTCATATTTACATCATGTTGCATATCACAATTGCTTGCACCATTTCCGCTGATTTTCAACTCATCCAATGAAATCATCACAATACTGATGTTAACATTTGCTTAAAATTGTACTTTACAAACATCATTTTTGTGGTCAAAACAAGTTTCCTGTTGAGCTAAAATATACTGCTGTAGAATTTAATTTTATCATTCTGGTAAAATGTCTCTCATGTCAGATTCTCTAGCTAAACAGTTATAAGTAGAGGGAGGGAATAGAGATAGAAAAACTGCCCATCTCACCCCTCAATAGCATAGTGGACTTTGGGTCAAGATTGACTGAATTTGAATCCTGGTCCTACCTCTGTGATGTTGGGTAAGTTCTTTAACTTCTCTTGGCCTTAGTGCCTGTCTGCATGATGGAGATGATGACTACTGAATTAAAGAGTTGTTATGAAGAATCAATCCATCACAGTTTGTGAAATGCTCAGAAGAGTGTCTGTTTCAAAGCAAGCACGACAGAAGCATTTATAAAATAAATGATGAAACTTCAGGCTGCGGAAAATAAATGCCCCGGGCAAGGCCTCAGTCAGCAGTGGAACCATTTCTTTTTTCATTCCACACCTGGCCATCAAGGGTCTGTTCTGGTGAGAGGTCAGGCTAAGCAGCTGGGACCCAGCAATGCCAAGATCAGCAATGGGCCATGCCCTCCTAAGGCTTGTACTCTAGTGTTGGAAAATACATTAACGGCAGTCAAACACCTAGGTGTACTTCCACAAACACAATCAGGGCTTGAAGGGAGAGGTAAGCGGTGCTAAGAACACTTAATTGGATCATTTGATCTCATTTATAAGATGTTAGAAGCAAGTTACCATCGAGTGTTTATTGAAGGAAGAGTTGGCATCGCCCTGAGGGTGAGTGTGGGCTGTGTGCATGGAGGAGCCACGTGCTACCAAGAAGTGAGAGGCCCAGGGTGCGGGGAGCCAGGAGCTAGGAAGCCTATGGTGCCCCAGGAACCTGGAAGAGTAGGTAGGTCCAGGCTGCGGAAGAGCTATGTTGAAGAGCTTCTTCCTTATTCCTGAGGGCTTTGGGAAGTAGAGCAATTAAAGAGGGATATGTCATGTTTGTGTCTAAACATTAACAAGATTTCTCTGTACACCATTCTTGGAGCCGAGGAAATGGAAGGCAGACAATTGGGTTAGAAGCTCTGCAGTTTTCCCCAGGAGACCTGAGTACTTAGGCTGGGCTGGTGGGCATTGGGGTGAAGAAAATTAGAAGGACGGAAGAAGTGATGTTTGGGAGGTGAGAATGAGCAGGCCTCATTGAAAGACTGGGTGTGAGGCGTGTAGTTTGTGAATCAAATAGAGGTGAGGCTGCTTAGCAAAACAGGACACAGAGGAGCACCTGGTTTGGGGCCAGATTGGGACATGAGATCTCCCCTGTTATTTTGGGCACGTTGGGATCAAGGTGTCGCTAAGACATTGTCGGGAGATGTCAAGGCAAGAGTGGATACATGGGCATGGAGGTTAGAAGAGACCTGAGGGTGGAGACAAAAATCCTCTGTCTGTTGGATGGAGGGTCACTGAGACCACGGGCTTGGGTGACCTCATTTAGGGAGATACTAGAGTGAGAAGAAGAGGATCGAACAAGAGTTTGGGGGACCACAAAAGTACGAGAGAAAGCATCTGTAAAGCCATAAATAAGGGGAAGCAGGAGGAATGGTGACAGATAGTGTCAGACAACCTAGGAGTGGGTGAGAGCCAAGAATATCACAGCTCCCGAGTAATCATGCAGACTGAGGACTTTACAACGGCCTAGGATGGACAGGAAAATCGCTGTTGGGCTCTCTCAGCAAAGCAGTTGCTTAAATCTAGCATCTTAGTTCACTCGAGATGCTATGATAAAATACTACAGACTTTGTGGCTTAAACGAAAACCATGTATTTCTCACTGTCTAGAGGGTGGAAGCCCATGATCAAGGCTCTGATGAGAACTTTCTTTCAAGCTCACAGAGGGCTATCTTCCCCTTGCGTCCTCAGGTGGTAGAGAGAGAAGAAGGAAACAGAATCTCTACTGGCTCTTGTTATAAAGGCACTAATCACATTATGAGGGCCACACCCTCCTGACCTAAAAGCCCCACCTCCTAATACTAGCACCTTTAGGATGAGGATTTCAACCCAGGAATTTGGATGGACACCGGCATTCAATCCTCATCATCTAGATTAGATGAGGGCATGGAAGCTGAGGGTCAGGATCTGAAGTCTAACTTAAGTAACTTCTATGTGTGAAGTGTCATATTTATTCTGAGTTTAGAGTGTGTTTACAGAGGGTTAAACCAAGCTTTATGGTAACAACATAACTCAAGAGGAAGGGTAGTCAAAACATATTCTGAACATGTAATCAGGTAGCTTTCACTTTCTAGAAAGGAAAAAATGTCCAGAATTTTGTATTCCTATGCTGAGGAAAATGAAAAACAACAACAAAAAAAGAATTTGAAAAAACTTGTGAGTTGTGAAAAACCATAATCAATTTTAGAAAATTGATTTCATGGATATTTAAATTGGAAAGCTATAGAGAAAACAGTTCAATGTTGATGCCATTTTGCTTGCAAAATCAATTAAGTAAGCAGATAACCAGGATTCTCCTGTTTTGTGGGAAATTCATGAATTTCAATTCATTTTCTAAATGATATACAATAATTCATGTGAAAAACAAAGTAGTGATTAATCAAAAAAATGACAGCTTATCAGAAGAACCTAACAGCAATTAAGAAAATATTCATATCCATGAATAGGTAAGAAGATACAGATTTTCCAGGTACCTTAATTAAAGATGTAGTTGCTACAACAGTTAATTCTGTATAAGTATTTTTATTCCAAGGAGAAATAAGGCAGCTTGGTAATATAATTTAGTATTGTTTACAAATTATTGTAAGTTTTCACACAACTAGAAATTTACATTACATTTGTAAGAAAAACATAGACCCTGTATGGGGAAGTTAAGAAGTGTTATAATACAAGCTAGGAACTGGCACTTTTTAGTACTTTAAATGTGCTGGAATAAGAAATCAGTGTCCTATCTTGCAAAGCAAGAAAAGTTCTATCACAAAATAGTATAAGTATGAGAGAGTGTTACTCTATTTTGCCAGATTAAATCTCTGTAGTTGTGAGGGGAAGGAGATGGGCAGAAATCCTTGCATGGGCTCCTAATGCTCTTGAATAATTGGGAGCTGTGAGTTTTAGACCAAGAGTAAAAAAGAGGTGTCTTTGGCTAGAGTCTTAACCTCACACACTGGCTCAAAAAGCCTCTCCATCCAGTGAGTGTTCTTTGGGAAGACTTGCAACGCTTAGTTCTAAAATTTTCTTTAAAATATTCTCAGGACTTGGAGATGAAATCATTTGTAAAACAAGGGATTCATGTGATACTACATAATTACAAATTACAGATAGTTGGATCACAGGATTTAACAGGCATAGACCTGCATTTAAACAAGATGGAGCTAAACATCAGTTTTCTTTCTTAAGGAACTTTTTCATAGCATTTTAGTAAAATGCATAATAAATTAAGGGATGGGCTTTAGGTACCCTGAGGTGTGCAGCCCATGCCTCCCTGTGCCCACAGCAGCCTTCATTGGTCACAGAAGACCCAAGTGAGGCTTCTGGAGGTGCCCAACAGAAGAACCAGCTGAGATAAGAGGCAGAAATCAAAATAGAACTGGGGAATTCTTTCCTACTTAAGAACTTCAGGATCAATAGTTTCCTTCATCTCACCTCAGATATTTATTCAACCATCCATCCATCCGTCAATTAATTTAATGCATTAAATCTTACCAAAGGTGTTAATAGGATTGTAAAGATTTAGTTCATCTACATTTTACTTGAGCCCTCTGAGGTAGATAAATGTAGACAAAAATGTAAGTACCTCTCCATCTACAGACACAGTTATGAGTCTAAGTAGCCATTCAGAGATTAGAAAGCACTTTCACATCCATGCAGTTGTTCCATTTCTGAATGTGTGCATAAGAGAGTGCAAAATCAATACACAGGACAGACGCATTTATGTATTTCATGCAACCTTCACACTAACATTCTGGGGTAGAAATTATGATCTCGCCCATTTTATACCTGAAGAAACACAGGCTCAGAGGAGGAAAGGGACTTAGGCTATGGGTACGTATTTCCTAGACAGTATTGTAGAATTTAAATGCAGATAATCTGATTCCAAATTGTAAGTTATTTCCACTGTATTACACTCTTCCCAAATTAGGAGGATGCTATGTTCTGAATGTTTCTGTCCCTCCAAAATTCATATGCTAAACCTAAGCACCAACATGGGGGGATTAGGTGGTACAGCCTTTGGAAGGTGACTAAGTCCTTTGTTTTAGAGCAATGCCCCAGAGAGCTTCCTTGACCTTTCCACTATGTGAGGATCCAACATGAAAGCGCTGTGTATGAGCAAGATAGTGGGCCCTCACCAGACACAAAATATGCCTTGGTTTTGGACTTCCCAGCCTCCTGAACTGTTGTTTTCAAGCTTCCCAGTTTATATTTATTGTGACAGCCCCAACAGACTAATACAGAGAATAATGTAACTTGTGTCTGCTTGTATTGCTAGTGTTTTTTTTTTTAAGTAGTGTTTTTTTTTTTAAGTAAGTTTTTTTTTTTTAAGTAGTGTTTTTTTTTAAGTGTTTTTTTTTTTTTTTAAGTAAGGGACAAAACTTTAACAGGAAAAGGAATACAGATTATGAAATGCTACCATTCAGGTTTTTATGCTAGTACTTTAATACTCCAAATTAAAGTAATATATTCACTCACTTGCTAAATAAAGCTTATATGACTAGAGATACTGAATAATTCTTTTAGTCTTTAAGTCCTCTAAAAAATAATAGTGAAAACCCAAAATTGCTTAATGAGACATGTATGACCTTGTTTATTTAGTATTTATCATAGATGTTAAAATGATCATGGTTAATTTTTTTTTTTTTTTTTTTTTTGAGACACAGTTTCACTCTGTCTCCGAGGCTGGAGTGCAGCGGTGCTATCTTGGCTCACTGCAAGCTCCGCCTCCCGGGGGTTGCACCATTCTCCTGCCTCAGCCTCCCAAGTAGCTGGGACTACAGCTGCCCACCACCACGCCTGGCTAATTTTTTGTATTTTCAGTAGAGACGGGGTTTCACCATGTTAGCCAGGATGGTCTCGATCTCCTGACCTTGTGATCCGCCCACCTCGGCCTCCCAAAGTGCTGGGATTACAGGCGTAAGCCACCATGCCCGGCCGATCATGGTTAATATTAATGTAAGAAATTAGAGAATGTCAATGAAGGTCCATTATATGTCTATTAAATGAAAGTGTTAGCTGCTTATAGTTATTTTCGAATTTAAATTGCCTTGGCTCACATGCCGTTTTATAATTTCAAATACATAATCAGAACTCTTTTGCATCTAGTGAATCAGTGCTGCCTACACAAAACTCCTTTATCAGGGAAGAGTGCATTATCAATCAAACTGAAACGAAATAACAGAAAACAAGATGAAGTAAGTCATGTGTAGCTACTGGCTGTAACTTCAAATGTATAATGATGGTGATGGTGATGATGATGGTGGTGATAGTGACGGTGATGGTTATGATGATGGTGATGTTTGACAGTTATAATGACAATGGTGATAACAGTATTATAATGATGGTGATGATGACACGGTTATGGTAATGTTGATGGTGATGCTAATGATGATGGTGAGAGTGATGGTAATTATGACGGTGATAACCGTGTGATGGTGATAATAACAACAGAAACTTAGACAACTAGGAACAATCATAATTTTTTTTTATGTTTTTGGCATACACAACAATTACATTTCACAATAACAACTTATCAAAACACAAAGAGATAATAGCTGGGATTTTGTTGTTGTTGTTAACAGGGTTTGTTTTATCTTTTTGATATCTAGATACCTTTGACAAAAACACCCAAACTTCTCCATTTCAAAGATAACGACCTTCAGAAATAACTGCTGAGTATAGTGAGTTTGGGGTTTTTGCAACATTGAGGTCGATAATGGGACCTGGAGATGTCAGAGCCCTGAGTAACCGTCCCTCTCCCAGGCAGCTACTTTTTGAGATGGAAACTGTCGCTAATGAATGGATGTGTCAAAACTGTCAGGTCCTAAGAGCAACAGATGACACCTGTCATTTTAACTCACAGGAAAGATGGTCAAAAATATTCTTCAATTATAGGCAAATGGAATGCAACACCTTCAGGTTATAAAGACTCCACTAAAACCATGATCATTTTTAATATGATTTATGGCTACTTGGTGAGAAATTAATTTCATAAAATCAGTGTGATGGAACACTTTATAACTTTTAAAGCTGGAGTGCATGACAAACATATTCTTCTAGGTTATTACTTATATTTTAGGAGCATTTAGATGTGTTTGTAAACCCCTACCCCAAACATAAACTTCCACCACCAAAATGCTTTTAGAGATTCTATAATTATATCCAAAGCATGTATGATAAACTTGCTCTAATTAATGAACATAAATTTAGGTATCTGAATTTAAGTATAGTAGAATTTCATAGGATAACCTGAAACAATGTGAAAAAATAAATTTGGTGAAGAAAATCTTTCAAAGCTCTTTGACAGGGGATTCTTAAAATTCCTCTGTATTTCTCACAGCATCCTAGCATAGTGCTGATACGTAGCTTGTAATACGTTCTTTAGTTGAATAATTTGAAAAGTCATCTCTACAACAAGGGTATGGACAATTTTAAAATTACCTTAACAGGCCGGGCATGGTGGCTCACGCCTATAATCCCAGCACTTTGGGAGGCCTAGGAGGGTTGATCACATGAAGTCAGGAGTTCAAGACCAGCCTGGTCAGCATGGCAAAAACCCATCTCTAGAAAAGCACAAAAATTAGCTGGGCACGATGGTGGGTACCTGTAATCCCAGCAACTCAGGAGGCTGAAGCAAGAGAATCGCTTGAGCCTGGGAGGTGGAAGTTGCAGTGAGCCGACGTCGCAGCACTGCACTCCAGCCTGGGTGACAGAATAAGACTCAGTATCAAATAATAATAATAATAAAAAAATAATGTATCAAACCCTTTGTATAGGTTGGTGCAAAAGTAATTGCAGTTTTTGGCATTGAAAGTAATGGCAAAAACCTCAATAGCGTTTGCACCAACCTAATAGCTTATTATCCTTCAGACACATCACTTCCTTGTTCTTTTCTGATTTCTAATTCTTTTGTTTACTTCTAATGTTTTGACAGTCAATTAACTTGGGCAACCTCAAAGTTTAACCAAATCTCTATGTTTTCCTCCTTCAAGAATGACTTCCTGAGCCTGGGCCAAATAGGGAGACCCTGTCTCTACGAAAAGTTGAACAATTAGCCAGGTGTCATGGTGCACACGTGTAGTCCCAGCTACAGGGGAGGCTGAGATGGGAGATCGCTCAAGCCCAGGAGGGCGAGGCTGCAGGGAGTTATGATAGTGCCACTACATGCCAGCCTGGGTGACAGAGAGAGACCTGGTCTCAAAAAGAAGAAGAAAAAAACTTCCTGGGAGATAATAATAATAAAATCAATGAACACCCACATGTACATTATGATCATTAATGTAGCCACTTCCTGCCTCATTTCTTAACCATGACATATATATTTGGTTATAAAAACAAAGGCAAAACTGAACAAGATGAGGACGGAGAGCTTACTTTTTGCCTTAAATGCCAAAGCGTTTTTGCAACTCGCTGATTACTGTCAATTATCTCACAATTGATTTATTTTTCAGACTAGTAACTTTGGAATTGACTCCTCCTTTGTTAGCTCCCACATACCTTCCTCTTCCTTTCACCCTCAGACAAATCATGACAGGCAGTAAGTTAATCATTTGCCATGTTACAGAAAACAAAACAGAGACCGCAATCATGAAATCTTTTCTAAAATTGACACAGTCAAGTTGGTGAAAGAGTTTCAACCAGAATGCTCATTTTCTGATGTTGAGAACTGCCTTTTCATGCTCTCTCTCACAATTTAAGGCATATATTGATAATGACAGAGAAACAACTACTCTCTGTATTTGACTTGAAGCACAGGATGAAATTTTAAGTCACCCTACATACTTGCCTTGAGAACATCTAACCTACCTGAGATTTACCGTTAGGGTCTTTTTCCTTTGGTATTTTCAGATGCACAACTGCCACTGTGAAGGATCACCGTCTAGAACCATCCACTCTACCACAGGTGTGAATTTCCTCACTCTGCTTAAACTCTGAGGATGGGCGAGTGCTAAGAATGGAGTAAAACACCCAAAAGAGTAGAAAGGGGCAATTAACACTTCCAAAAGTGTCTCGAGGAGGATACCCACAAGAGTGGAAGGAACTGCTCGAATAATTTACCACTTTGCAGAGGGGCTGATGGATTTTGGCATTTTTCTGTTTAGCAATTTTTCTCTCAACCGCTATGGTCTAAGTCCTGTTCCAGACCTTAATGGTCATCAATCTCAAGCGACTGCAGCAGTCTCTCAGGCAATTTTCCTATTTTTAGAATTTCCATTCCCATCTGTTTATGCAGCTAGAATGTCCATGACTATCATTTAAATTCTGTCATTTTCTTTTTCTGTTCAGAAACCAACCCATATTTTTCCTTGCCTACTTTCAAGAATGTTGCCACTGTCTCTGCAAGAACTCCCCTTTCTAGTAACTCCTGCCATGCCCCCCATCCAGCCAAGCCAGCCCTCTTGTGCCCCCCTCTCTAGGTGGATCTCTGGATTCGATCTCTGGGCTTCCACATGACACCCCCTCCTCCAAAGCCTGCCACCCTGTACCCTAATACATGCCTCTCTTGCAGTAAACCTTCCCAAATGTCCCCCAGAAGCCTCACCTCAATTGCTTGGATGATCTCTCAGCATTTGTAAACCACTCATGATTCATTATTCAGGGTAAGTTAATATGTTTATTTGTGGTCTTGTGCACTTTTTATTTTCGTAGGATCTCTCTGGAACTGGTAGGAACTTGACGACAGAGACCTTGCCTTCTACCTCCTTTTATGCCCCAGGGCACTAAATGTCAGGATCTGCATACAAGAATCACTCAATAAATATTGACTGAGTGTCGCTGATGGACCATTTGTCAAATCGCAGAGTTCCCTTTGGAATTGCTGTGATTCTCTTGATACTCTCCCCCAGAGCTGGGTAAATGCTGCTATGTGTAATAAATGGTTCTTCTGCTTTCCTCTTCCTGAACCCCTGCTTATCCCACGCGTAGACAGACGAAAGACTTGCTACTCAAATGACGAACCGTGTTCCACCATCATTGGCTTCCCCTGATGGCTCATGAAAAATGCAGGGTCGCAGGCACACACCCTGCCTAATGAACCGGTGTTTGTGTTTTCCCATTATCCCAGCAAATGACTTTATGTTACTCAAAGCTTGAGAAGCACTGGTTTAAGGGGAGGGGTTTCCTTCTTGGGACAATCCTGTTCTACGCAGTTGAGATGTTGATGGCCTGCAGCTACTTCCCTTAGTATTCCTAGGTGTAGCGACTTCAAACTGAAAACTCTGCGCCTGGTGATTTTTAAGCTGAGTAAACATATGTTTGCTAAATAAAACACTTATAGATCATGAAGTTTCATCCATGTAGTTTTCTATCACTAACAACCTGTACCTTTGTTAAATGTAGTGATCATAGAATCAGTACTTATAAACCAATTAAATCAACAAATAGTTTTTCATAGCTACTCTCTGCATTACATTGTATTGTGTGTTATAATACTAAAATAAGTATTTAATACAACTTTCCTGCCATCAAAGTGCTAGTAACCCATTGGTTTATTTTTCCATTTTTTTCTCGATATATTAATAATTATTTTTTAATTTGCTAAACACATGACTAGAAGTTATGTGATTATTTGGTATTTATCCTACTGGAAAAAATCTCACTGCTTGACTGTAAACCTAGCAAAACTCCTCCGATATCTCACAGTTGCAACTTCCAGGTCAAGACTGTACTCTGAAACAAAATAACACATCTCTAAAGTGACAACCAACTTGTCAATAAACTTTAATTCTGAAGGTAAAATTATCAAGGAAGCCCATATCCGGGATCAATTTACCAATGATCTCTCTCTCTCTCTTACTGTCTGTAATGGTTTCCTACCCATTTTCATCTTTTCTAACCTTCTAATGTATAGCTATAGATATATATCTATCATGTATAGCTATAGATATATATCTATCTATCATGTATAGCTATAAATACATATCTATCATATATAGCTATAGATACATATCTATCATGTATAGCTATAGATATATATCTATCATGTACAGCTATAGATATATATCTATCATGTACAGCTATAGATATCTATCATGTACAGCTATAGATATCTATCATGTACAGCTATAGATACCTATCATGTACAGCTATAGATACCTATCATGTACAGATATAGATACCTATCATGTACAGATATAGATATATATCTATCATGTACACATATAGATATATATCTATCATGTACAGATATATATATCATGTACAGATATATATATCTATCATGTACAGATATAGATATCTATCATGTAGATATAGATATATATCTATCATGTATATAGATATATATCATGTATAGATATAGATATCTATCATAGATATAGATATATATCTATCATAGATATAGATATATATCTATCATAGATATAGATATATATCTATCATAGATATAGATATATATCTATCATAGATATAGATATATATCTATCATAGATATAGATATATATCTATCATAGATATAGATATATATCTATCATAGATATAGATATATATCTATCATAGATATAGATATATATCTATCATAGATATAGATATATATCTATCATGTATAGATATAGATATATATCTATCATAGATATAGATATATATCTATCATGTATAGATATAGATATATATCTATCAAGTACAGCTATAGATATCTATCATGTACAGCTATAGATACCTATCATGTACAGCTATAGATACCTATCATGTACAGATATAGATATATACCTATCATGTACAGATATAGATATATATCTATCATGTACAGATATAGATATATATCTATCATGTACAGATATAGATATATATCTATCATGTACAGATATATATATCATGTACAGATATAGATATCTATCATGTACAGATATAGATATCTATCATGTACAGATATAGATATCTATCATGTACAGATATAGATATATATCTATCATGTATATAGATATATATCATGTATAGATATAGATATATATCTATCATAGATATAGATATATATCTATCATAGATATAGATATATATCTATCATAGATATAGATATATATCTATCATAGATATAGATATATATCTATCATAGATATAGATATATATCTATCATAGATATAGATATATATCTATCATAGATATAGATATATATCTATCATAGATATAGATATATATCTATCATAGATATAGATATATATCTATCATGTATAGATATAGATATATATCTATCATGTATAGATATATCTATCATGTATAGATATAGATATCTATCATGTATAGATATAGATATATATCTATCATGTATAGATATAGATATCTATCATGTATATATATATCTATCATGTATAGATATAGATATATATCTATCATGTATAGATATATATATCTATCGTGTATAGATATAGATATCTATCATGTATATAGATATCTATCTATCATGTATAGATATAGATATATATATCTATATATCTATATCTAAGATATATATCTATATCCATACATGATAGATATATATCTATATCTAAGATATAATATATAGATATATATCTATAATGTATAGATGTATAGATATATATCTTCTAATGTATAGATATAGATATATATCCACCTATATATCTATATGTATACATTGGAAGGTTAGAAAAGATGAGAATGGGTAGGAAACAATTCTATATGTCACCTTGTTATAGGTGGTTGCAATTATACAAAATATTCTGATCATCATATTCTTGAAATTCCATTCACTTCATTTTCATGGTATCAACATAAGAGATAAGCTTAAAGCTAGGCAATTGTCAACATTTCATTCTATTGTTTCTACAAAAATGGAAATTCCTCACGGTTCTGCCTAACAACTCATTATAGCCTAATGAAGATTTTGGTTAATATGTAATGAAGATGAAGTATAATTAAATAATTCCCCACAGCTAAAAAGTTAATGTAATATTTAATAATGTTGTTAATTATATAAATTTAAAAATATATCAGCACATACGTGGTAGGGCAATGTATCACTTATTAAGATGGACTTCTCCTTTAATGGGTGAACATTTAAAACATAAGTAAATAATGAAGTATACTAATAAAATACAGTCAACATAATAATTGAATTTCAAAGTCTATTCAACTTGAAATGTCAAAGAACTTCAATCTGAAATATCAAAGAACTTCAACCATCTCTATTTTCAAACTCAAGTGGCTATAAAGTAGTTTTTAAAATTGAGGTAAAATATACTTCCAGGAAACGCACATGTCTTTGTTATATAATTCAATGATTGTTGACAAACTGTTCACTGTCACAAGTAGAGCCCACACCCCGGATGCAGGCATAAAACATTTTCATCAATATGGAAATTTCATTTTTCCTCTTACATTCAGTTTCCATCCCTTCCCTCCACAGGCAACTTTTCTGGTTTTATTACCATAAATTCATTACATCTGATCTTTAACTTTATATAAATGGAATTATATATTAGGCAAGCTCTCTTAAATTTGGATTCTGTCTCACAATATAATATTTTCAAGATTCACAAATGTTTTATGTTTCAGCAAGTCACACTTTTTATTGTTGGGTAGTGTTCTTTTATACAAATATGTTATAATTTATCTCTCCAATTAATGGACTTTTGGATTGTTTCACCTTTTGGCTAATACAAACAAAGCTGCTATACATATTCTTATACAAAATATTTTGTGGACACGTATTTTCATTAAACGTGATAAAACAGAAAATTCCTAGGTTATTAGGTAGGTATATGTCTGACTTCATATAAAAGCACTAACGATTGTTCTAAGGTGATTGTACCATTTTATATTCCCACAGTAAGTGAGCATGCAAGTTGTTACGCATCCCTGTCAACATTTGATATTGTCAAGTTTTGTAATTTTAGCTGTTCTCATAACTATTTACTGGCATCTCATTGCGGTTTCAACGTGCATTTCCTTGAAGATTATTGATGTTGATAAACTTTTCAGGTGCTTTTTTGACCATTTTTATTTCTTCTTAATAATCCATTGAAGTATTGTGATGATTGAAGTCTTAGTGGGTTTTTTATTATTTATTTAGAGGAATTCAGTATATAAATATGTTTAGTGCATCATATGTAGTCTTTTATTAGATAAAACAATTTTTAACATTTTCCGCTACAGAGTTCATTTCTGTATGAAATGAGCTGTAGCTTTCCTTTTTATTTTCATAATGGTACTTTTTAATAATATCTTATTTATCAATGTTATTTCCTCTTAGGATTAGTGCTTCGTCTATCTTAAGACAACTCAGTATATCTGATGGCAGTAAGTCACTCTCTTACATTAGCCTCTAGTTTTTTAATTGGGTCTCTTATATGCCCAAGTGTGAGTGTGAGGTAAGAGTGCAGTTTCACTGATATACTCATTTTGATTTCAGGAACCACTTGATTCATATCTTGTGGATATACTGCAGAAGGTCAAAAGGTGAGAAAGAAGAGGAAAGACAGCAAAGATCATATGAAAACACTTTTCCAGAGTTTTGAGAGGTGATTGCAATGAAAAGGCAATTATAAATAAAATATTAACTTTGCTTCCATGAAGCCAGTACTCATGCTATATAAAAAATACATACATTTATTCAAGAAGATGCATTTACACACATATAAGTGTATATACACATGTACAAACATAACTGTATGTATACATATACAAAAATGTCACTATAGATCAGTATTTAGAAATTTTTTTTACTATGTTTGTATTTAATTATGGGACATCTGTTTATAAATTCGTGTTGGTTGAAATTTAGTAAAATGTTGTATTTTCCTACTCTTTCCTATTTTCCTTTGTTCATACAGACATAGTCAAGTTTATAGGTGCAAAAGAAGAAATGTGGAGTCAAGCTAAACATATCATATATATAAAAACTCTTTAGTAGATCCATTTATATATATGGGTGAATAATAAATATGCCATATAAATGTAATATAATACTTTTTCAGATCTGAAAAAGTTAACAATCTTTGTATAGTATGCTTAAATAATTAGAACATGAAAAACTTCCAAATGCCATTTTTTATTATCCTCAATTTGCTACATAGTTTAATAGTTTTATTTAACACTTCAATAAAAAGTTTTATAATGTATTTATTTGACTATCATAAGAAAAAGAGGAATAGCACATAACTTACCTTTCACAACTGATTCTACAGTTTTTTTTCTTTGATCACAGCATTTTTTTTTATACTTTAAGTTCTAGGGTACATGTGCACAATGTGCAGGTTTGTTACATATGTACACATGTGCCATGCTGGTGTGCTGCACCCATTAACTCGTCAATTGCATTAGGTATATCTCCTAATGCTATCCCTCCCCCCTCCCCCCACCCCACGACAGGCCTTAGTGTGTGATGTTCCCCTTCTTGTGTCCAAGTGTTCTCACTGTTCAGTTCCCACCTATAAGTGAGACATGGATTTGAAGAAGTAAAGCATACATGTAACATTAGGTAAAATGGATGATCTAAAATATGTGACTAATAAAACCTTATCATTTGAAACTGAATACATCAACTTTTCATTGGTACAGTAAAGAAAGACCCCATTTGGCTTGTACTTGTAGCATTGCAGAAAACAAGTTATGTATTTGAGGCAAATTTTGCTTCCTTATCTGACAGTTAAGTCTGCCAGCTGAACGTTTGACATTCTGTGCATTGTTTTATAATAAGCTGTACAAAACTTTACTCACTGCTAAATCCAATTTTCATATCTATGAAATTCTATAGTGAATATTACAAATCTCTAATCTAAATGGACATGAGGCTAGGTTTTGGAAGATCACAGTCCTGAATTTAAGCTACATTGCTGACTTGCTATATAATTGAAAAATTAATGCAACTTTCCTGTTTCTCAAATATCCTTATCAATAATGGAATAATGAAAATGTCTGGGGTATAAGCATTTCACTCTGAAGTCCACTATTTGTGTAACCTTGTAAAATCACTTGACTTTTGAACCTCAATTCTTTTGTCACTGAAATATGGAGAAAAACATTTGCAGTTGATGCTACAGGCTTTGTGCTAAGATCCACTGAAGTATATGGCGCTATTTATATTGTGTATGAGTTGTTTCCATGTGGAAAAAGAACAAAAATCAGTGGCTAGACATGAAAATTCAGCAGAGAGCAGAACTTTCAACAAACTTATTGATGATGATACAGTCATCCTTTATTGGAATAACATTATATATTGGGAATACAAGAAGTTTAATGCCATGAGAAGTTATACTGGGCAAATCACATACCTTAATTTTATAATATGTCAAAATATTATTGTTCCGGAAGTGTTTTGAGAAACAAATGAGCTTACACAATGAATTTAATGCAATTATTGACACCTGTGAAGTGCTTGAGAAATAGTATAAATTCTACAAAAAGTGCTGGGACAACTGGATATCCACATGCAAAAATGCATTTGGATCCCTACCTCACACCATACAGAAAAATTATCTCAAAGGAGATCATAGAGGTATGCAATGGCTTGGATATGGTTGTCTCCACCAAAACCAATGTTGAAACTTGATCTCCAATGTGTCAGTGTTGGGCCTAGAAGAGGTATTTGGGTTATGCAGACAGAACCCTCATGAACGGCTTGGTGATATTCTCGTGGGAGTGAGTGAGTTCTTGTTCTGACAAGGTAAGAACAGTTCTTGAAGGAAAAGATTAGTTTTGTTGAGGTAGTTTGTTTTTAAGCAAATTCCCTCCTCATGTTTGGCTGTATTTTGTACGTGCCCACTTCCCCTTTGACCTTCTTCATCATGTTTTGACACAGCACAAAAGCCCTCACCAGAGACTGGTGCCATGCTTCTGCTATGGCCCCCAACAACCATGAGTGAAATAAACCTCTTTCTTTATAATTTATCCAGCCCCAAATATTCCTTTTATCACAACACAAAACAGACTAAGACAATTTAAATTTCATAGCTAAAATCATAAAAATATTTGAAAAAAGCAAAAGAGTAAATCTTTATAACCGTGGTTGAGGCCATGCTTCCCTTGATATGATACAAAAAGCACAAGGAATTAAAGAAGACGGAAAGGTTAAATTTTACCGACATTAAAAATTTTTCTGCTGCAAAGGATACCACCAAGAAAAGATAGTCCACATAATGAGAGAAAATATTTGCAAATACTACATCCAAAACGGTCTAATAACCAGAATATATAGAGAGAACTTACAAGTCAACAACAACCACAAAAACCCTAACAATTAAAAATTGGGAAAAAGATTTAAATAGACATTTCTCCAAAGAAGACATACAAATGGCCAATAAGCCCATGAAAAGATGCTAAAGATCATTAGTCATTTAAGAAATTAAATTTAAAACCACAGTGAGAAAAGCCACAATGAGATACCATTTCATACCCACTAGAAGGGCTATCACTGGACAGATGATAATAGGCACTGGCAAGGATGTAGAGAATTGGAACCCTCTCGTGTTGCTTGTCGGAAAGTAAAATGTTAGAGATATGCTGGAAGACAGTTTTGCAATTCCTCAAATGGTTAAAATTACTGTTACCCTGTGAGTAAAGAATTCCACTCCTAGTTTTTCTACCCAAGAAAACTGAAAACATATAGTAACACAAAAACTAGTGGGCAAATATTCATGGCAGCATCATTCATAATATCCAAAATATGGAAACAATTCAAGCATTCACCAACTGATGACTCTGGACAAACTAATATAGCATACACATTCAGTAGCATTTTACGGGTCATTAAAAATCAACAAAGTACTAAGGTATGTTGGAATACTGAGGGACCAGAATCATTAAAGTAAGTCAATGAAAAATCACAAAACACCACATATTATGAGATCTCATATAATACCCAATGCCTAGGGTATAGGGTGGGGAGTCAGGGTAGAACAGAAAATGACTGATAATAGGTACAGAACATTTTTTAGGGGTGATGAAAATATTCTAAAATCGGATTGTGATGACTGCACGATGATGTAAGCATACAAAAATTCATGGAATTGCACACTTTATGTGGATAAACTTAAGGATATGTAAATTTTATCTTAATAACATTGTTTTAAAAAGGTAAAATAAAAATATCCTCAGATACTGCAGCATTCAAAAAATAATTACTATGACAATAAAGAAAGACATTAAAGAAGGGCTTATCACACCTTGTAAATTCTTAAAAATATACATGATAGAGGCATAAAATGAGTTTGGAACATCTACATGGATGAGATTTCTGCTATTTTTCCACTTTAAAATACTATTGCCATTTATTATAGTAATTCCTATTATGTTATACATCTGTATATGTGTGCATGTGCTTATAGAGATATTTAATTGAAAGGGACAATGTTGCATCATTTTCAAACAAACACTATTATTCTTTAGACATTTTTTTCTTATTAAATTTGTCAGCCTGATACATAAGTATCAACTTCATTCATGTGAAATTGATGTGAGGTCACTTTCTAAGCTCAGTGGGAAATACATTTAGCAGAATAATTTTGCCACCTACTTAGTTAAGGGGAGAAATACAGGCTTATTGCAGGATGTAATTCACCAACTGTTTATATAATTTTAAGCCTTTAGTAATAAAGCAATCATGAGCTTGTCACTTTACTTCTCTACTCATGACACTTCAAAACGCAATAAAATATAGTGCTTGACAATTTTAATTTATTTTAATTAAAAGACATCCCAAAAGCGTGATGCAAATGCTTGAAAATTTAAAGCTTAGCTCCCTTTGCTTTAACTAAAGAAATGTTCGATTCGTTTCTCCATCAAGTGAAGGGCACTTTTAAGCATCCGCACTGGCCCTTAGATGATGTGGTCTTTAAAAAGAATAGTTTGATTTGACAAAGGAAAACAGGAATTTTGAAAGAACCTACAAAAGAAAGACTTGAAAATAATCAGCCAAAAATGTTCATGATCATGTTGTAGGGTGAAATATTTATTATTTCCTTTTGTAATGATAAGAACAATGAAATCCAGAAAAAAATGCGGAAGATGAATAAAGTGGTGGCAACAGCCTTTTGGTCTATCTCTATCAAAATGCAGTGTTCTCTCCATCATGCTGTCTCTTTGAAGGACTTCATTCTAAGTACTCATGTTCTAATCATGCTGAAAGCAATATAAAATCATTCATTTGTTCAGAAATAATTTTTGAGTGATGACTTGTGTGCCAACCCCCATTCTGACTGCTTGGCATAAAGTCAGGAACACGGGTTCTCATTGCATAAAGTTGACGGTTTAGCAGCAGCTGGGTAGGGAGATACTGCTATACACAAATACTTCAATAGACAAGACAAGACAAGACTTGAATGGTAAGCTGATCACTGAACCCACGCTGGAGAGGAAACAGGTAGTGTAGGTAGAGCTTGTGGTCAAGGAGATTACTCAAAGGAGAAAATATTAAACCCCAAGTTATTACTGCTTCAGAGGCTGAATAACAAGAAGAGCCCATGCACAGAAAACCCAGGGGCTGGGCCCAGGACAGAGGTACGCAGGAGCCCACAGGTGGGAAAGGCTCAGATGGTTCATGAAGGAGAACAAAGACCAGTGTGTCTGCAGTGGACTCAGAACATTTGAGCCTGGAAGGAGAGGAGGGTTCATAGAGGCCAGAGTGGCACCACGCAGAGATTTGTTGGTCAGAATTAGGAGTTTGGATTTTATTCAACTTCAGATTGGAAGCCAGTGACGAATCTTGATTAGGGTCCTGAAGTAATTTGAGTAACATTTGGAAAATATCTTTCTGCCTACTATGTGGAGAATGGACCACTGTAGACACCTTAATAAACATGGCAAAGAGGTGTGAAGCTACTGAGGAGAGGAATTTGACTTGAGTGACAATAGCAGACAAGGAGAGAAGGTTAAGAGACAAAGTTTCTCTTTTTTTCTTTTTTTGAGGTGGAGTCTTGCTCTGTCGCCCAGGCTGGAGTGCAATGGCGTGATCTCGGCTCACTGCAACCTCCACCTCCTGAGTTCAAGCGATTCTTCTTCCTCAGCCTCTGAGTAGCTGCGATTACAGACGTGCACCACCACATCCAGCTATTTTTTTTGTTATATTTTTAGTAGAGACAGGGTTTCACCATGTTGGCCAGGCTGGTCTCGAACTCCCGACCCCAGGTGATCTGCCCACCTCAGCCTCCAGAAGTGTTGGGATTACAAGTGTGAGCCACTACACCAAGCCTAGAGACAAAATTTTAAACGTCAATTCAAAACATTTAACTTGCAGGTGCAGAATACTAAAATAAATAATTTTTTTTGTGCTGAGACCAGTTGAAACTCTAATGCGTCTTAAAAGAAGCAGTATCAAAAATACCCAGTGTGAATTAACCGGACACAAATAAAAAATACATTAATTAAATTTTGTTCCAGAAAATGAAAAATACTATTTTTCTAAATTGACATGACTTACTATAATGGACTATGGAATAATGGATTTGATCACTTTATTAATTTTAATAGCTATAAAACATTTACGCATCATGTTGCTATAAATGAGATTAGCAAAATGCAGTCACAGGTCCAATTTTTTCTTTTATGCATATTTTGTAGTATCTTTTTCATTTAAAAAATCACTTTACGATAAAATGCACACATAATTCAAAATAGAAGTGAAAGAAAAATTAAGAGAAATGTGAGTAGGAAGAAAAATGTAAACACATATATTTGTGTATGATATTTGCTTCAACTGATCATGAAATTAGCCTTTAATTTTACAGTAGCTGAGAAAGAAAATATGTTTGGTAATCTAATTATTCATATCTAATAATTGAGTACAACACATCATAAAGAAAGGGTAGGTTTTCTTTCCTGTTACATGATTATAAAAAAGTAGCATGGATTAGTGAAAAATGACTACTTTAGAGTTTCAGGTTAGTAGCACAGTAATGAATGACTTCTCCACCTCTGTGGCCAGAGAAGCAATTGTTCGTTCCACTTTCACAGTTCACTTCTTCTGGTCTTGAAGAGGCCTGGTTGGTCATATTCACACTGGAATATAACACCACTTAGGCACAGAGAATTAGAATAACAGATACTACGGGAACCCCACTGTTATGAATGGGAAGGGGTCTAGAATTGCCTCAGATTCCACTAGGACAGCAGCATCCCATTCAAAGAGACCACAATATTCCCCAGGACTACAACATGACAAGGGAAGGAGTCAGTTTCCTGCGGGACACCAGCATCACAAGGGAACCAACCACCATTTCTCCTAGGGCATCAGCATCGCAGAGGAAGGAGCCACAGATTCCACCAGGACACCAGCCTCAAAGGCAAGAAGCTACAACTTTTTCCAGGATACCAGAATTACAAAGAGAGGAGCCACAAGTTACCCCTAAAACCCTGTAATCACAAGGAAAGAAGTGGTCACCTCTCAGCAGCTCTGAGTGGAGCAGAAATGATCTACTCCCTCCCTCTTTCTGACCTCCACTCTGATTCCTGACCATGTTCAGGGATGACTCTGAGTCCTGGAACACTTTCATCTGCAGTGGAAAAGATTTTTTGTTTGTTTGCAAGAAACAGGTGAAACCTTTCTGAATCAGTTTTCCAGCTAAGAGTTATACCTGTAGAAAGGATATTACCTTGGTGGGGAGTAAAATGAAGGCAAGTTGGGTATTTGATTGTACTACTGTACCATTGTGTTTCATTCTTTCCTATCTTTCTTCTTTTTTTAATTCGAGAATCTTACTTGTTTGTGATACTCTTTGAGTCCGTCCCCTACCCCAGTCTTTGTGAGTCATCTCATTCACTCTGTGCAGAATTACCATTCAAGCCTTTTCAACTTCCTTTATGACAAAAATTTCATGCCTCAGTTTCCCAGATTTCTATTCTGGGGCAAACCAAACACTTCTTGTAGTGGACATGCTCACCAGAAAGCACTGACACACCTGCTCTTGAAAGGCTCCTTCTTCTTCCGTCTTCAGATTCTAGGCAAGACTTTTGCTCAGGCAAACTGGGGGAGACCTGGAGCAGCTTCATTGCACATTAACTTCTTCAATGGATTTTAATTTATAATTGGACAAAAATTGTTGGTTTAGTGGTCTCCAATATGCCTTTTAGTTGTAGTATTTATGAAAGCATCAAAACAGCACAGTTCTGCCTGACACAACCCATCATATAAGATACCTTGGGTCGTCCATTCAAACGCAGAGTGCTTTGGATTTTTCTTCCTCTCAGATTATGGAGTACATGCAGGTTGTTTTCACAGTAGGATGGAAGGCCTAGTTTTCATTCTGTCTATCGTAATGATGGCCTTAATTCTTTGGGTAATTAATAGATTCTTTACAACCAAGTATATAGAAATGAAAATAATAACCAATATGCCCCTGAAGCCTGTGGGACACAAAAGCGTGTGTGAAGCCCTCAAGCATCCTGATACGGCCATGGCCTGAATAATGAAGGCAATTTGAAGCTATCAGCTTCTATAACTGAGTCTCCAAAAGAACCAACACAGAGCCACGGTGCTCTGTGCTTTGAGGCATATTCACTCACTACCTACACGCACACTTATCATAGAAATGTAAACTCCTGCAGAGCTTCTTCCCAGAGTAGTAGGAACAACATCAATAATCAATGTAAGTCAGCTTCATATGTGCATCAGACAATGCGTTGAGCACTTGAATAATCTTATCAAATCTTCAAAACAATCTAATGAGAGGTAATATTTCCATTTTAGGTATGGAAAAACAAATTTAACAATGAAGACAAGTAATGCAAAATGTTAGTTGTTTTAGCTACTAAATACTAGGTGCAGCATAGTTCAGAACTACCTTTTCTAACCATTTGGTCTAGCTAGCAGACACAATGTAATCTAGTAACCAATTAACAGTAGTTAGAGACTTAATATAATTTAATCCAGTAGTAGTGAGGTACTTATTCTAATTGTCAGATAGGATTTAATCCAACTGCTTAATCTGATGATTTATTCTAGCTACTAGGTGCCAGATAAAACTGGCTAGAGGGCTAGAAATATTGTAACCCAGGCAGTCTGACTCACAAGTCTGGTAGCTTAATTATTACTATCCATGGCTTCCCCCACGCACTGGGGGAAGGTTAAATTGACTTTAATAGGGCACATTTCCTAAAGAAAAGTTTAACCTTGATCCACAGCCTTTAATTTTCTCTTGTGACCTTCTAAAATGGAAATTTTCATGAAGAAGCCAGGACATTGATAAACCTATATTTAATGCCATAGTAATTTCCATTCTTTGATCAACAGAAACTTAAGCAACCTATACCGCATGCCAGCAAAATAAAATACAGTATCTGGTTTTGTACTTGACAAAGAGAAAAGTAATAGAAAGTGATTAATCTGGGAATATTCCCAAGCCCTTTATAGAAATTCAATACTGTATTCAGCAGAGGATGTTTTCTCTGATTTTTTTTATATGTGTAATGAAAGGCAAAGATCACTGAGCCAGAAATGTCAAGTTATCTTTGAAACATGAATGCAGCATTACCAGGGCAGAGCTTCAACAGATACTAATGATATGTTAATTAGTTAATTGCACATTTTAATAACAGACTTACAAAGCCACAATTTCTTTGTGTTTAAATAACATAATTGTGTTTCAGTTGTGTTTTCAGTAAACACTGGGAAGTTTTCATTCACCTACACATCTCTATATAATTAAGTTTTGGCTTTTCTTCCTTGAGCTATAAGGGATCCTAATGTCTTTATTACACAGGAATCATCTTTAGTCATCTATTTTTAGTTCTCTCTCTGAGATATCTAGATTGTCATTCAGGCAGATGCACAGACCCTCACTGAGATCCTAGCACATTTACAAATGGAATGACTGTGCTCCCTTGGGGTAATGCTAAGTACAA
Source organism: Homo sapiens (assembly GCF_000001405.40). Taxonomy (NCBI): domain Eukaryota; kingdom Metazoa; phylum Chordata; class Mammalia; order Primates; family Hominidae; genus Homo; species Homo sapiens. The sequence continues at coordinate 3,807,879 of NC_000008.11, forward strand.
AAGCAATCCCCTTCTTGCCAAGTAATCACATAGAAAAAATAAATTGTAATTTTTGAGGCTAGGTGGCTTGCATAACTTGTCAAACAAGACATGCAGCCCTATTCCTGTGTCATTTAAATGCTTTAAAGTCGTCTCATTCTTGAGCTCTATTTTTAAATTGCCTTTTCTACAGAAGTTACAGCAGTGGCTGAAGAAAATGGTTTGATTATAGAAGACCTGTTCACCCTCAGCCACGTCACTCAGGAATGCATCTCTGTGAAATCATCTATAATCTCTATGAAATTAAAAAAATGTAACCTATTAAAATTGTTTTTGCAAAAACATCTGTGATCTAAAATATACTAAGAGATATACTACAAAATTCACTAAGTAGTCACATTTACTAAGGAATATAAAGATTTTTTTCATTGTTGTTCTTTTTATATTAATGGGAGCCTCTCTTCTCTAAAGACAAATTTCTGGAAATGTTTGGGTCTTGGTATATTCAAAGGACTGACTGTGATAATGACAACCGTGGTAAAAAGTAAGTTTTACTACTCAACCAAAACTCATTGGAATGAGTCTTCAAAAGCTGTGTTTCTCTCTTTATACTTTTCAGTAATATGTTTTCTGCCTTATGAAGAAAGACTAAGAGCATGCTACCGTGGTGAATTTACATGCAAAGTCTGTCTCTCTTTATGATATGGGGAGAATCCTCATGTTTGAAAATAATTGCACACTGCTGTCACTATTATCAAATACTATTGCATCAGAGATAGTTCCTGAGCCCAAGGGACTTAGGTCTTGTTTGTAGGATATTTCTGAGGTTTGGCACTCTAGAAGTTCCCACTTGCGTAAACTTTCAACTCTCTCTCTTTCCTAGCATAGCCTTGCAAGAACACGAGTTAGCTTTAGGTAGTTTGTCTCGGAATTGGAAAATTTCAAGGGGCATTTGGCAGTAGAGCAAGGCTATTTATTTCCAAAGGAAAGCGCAGCCCTTAGGTCTCAATGAGAATTCTGAAGTCATATCAGGGATTTTAAACTTCTAGTCAGGCAAGCCTCAATTCCGTGTTAGTGCTATGTAGAGGGGTCGTTTGCAAGAAGAGCCAAGGCACTGGTTAAACAGGTTTGAGTCAACATGACATGGATGATTCAAGGATGCTGGAAGGCATGAAGAGATACACTTAGCTTTCCAACAGCCCCTGGGGAATCACGCAGCTTCTATCATATATGACAACCTGCCACCGGGCACATGCTCTGCCCTCTATTGGGAATATCTTCCTCTTTCCCCTTCCAGCCCCCACAGACCTCATTCTTACTGTCCTTTACTAATATAACTTCTCACCCATCAGGTCTCCAGTTAAGTTTCACTTCATCTAAAAAGACTTCTGACCAGCTGGGTCAGGTCAGCTCCCTTTGCCATATCACAACACAATGCACCTTTCATTGAAAGTTCTTGTTCACGATTTTTATCGATAAATATTTGTTTACGCACTTGTTTATCACTGTTCTACTCACTAGGCTCTGTTTCAGAGAATTAGGGACTGTAAACCTTTGTTTCCTTCTCCATCAAAAGTGATTAGTACAAACTACCTGGTTCCTGGGGATAGTTCATACTGGGCTGCGTGATCCTTCAGTTTCCTTTTAATTGGGTCATCCCAGAAATTAGTGGGTTCTCAAACATTGCCATGCATCGGATTCACTGGGAGAGCTTGTGAAAGTGTAGATAGTTGGCCCCACCTGCAGAGTGTCTAATTCAGTCTGTCTCTGGTGGCGGCTAAGAATTCTCATTCTAACATCAGGTGATGCTGATGCTGCTAATCTGGGAACCACACTTCCAGAGACACTGCCACGAATCTATAGGTCTTCAAGGAAGGTTTTCCTAAGAGGGGAGTTGAGACAACAGGAAAGTATTAGAATGGGGGGTTCTATGTCATTAGGAGAAAATGCACTGTTCACATACTGAAAACGCAAGAATGCAGACCTCTAGAAAAACTGGTGAGAACGTCAATATCACCCGTTACGTACCTTTGCCTTTCTCCCATCTTTAATCTAATCCTCATTTACTTCATATACAACCAACATTTACTTACTCAAGGGCCTTCCAACTTCTTTGCTGCAGGCCAAAATAGACACCAGCTCTGACTGCCACATGCAAAATTAATTGCTGCCATGTCTGTAGTCCTCTGTCACACCTACATATTTTTATTATCATGCTTGTCACATTTAAATGTTTATTCAGCTGTCTTTCTGCCTTGGTTTGCCAAGAGTGCTCCCAGGCCCCAACTGACTATCATAGTGCCAGGCATATAGCAGGTGCTCCATACATGTCCAATGAGTCAGGACAGTCTAGTCTTTGACAGTATAGAGAAGTTTTCATAGAGATTTCAAAAGGAATGCTGGTACTTCCATGTATTCCTGATGTTTCACAGGACGAAGACAAGACAAAACCCAAACAACCAGAGCCACTGGGAAAGAAATAGTGCTTCTCAGTCACAAAAATCAAAATGGGATTTGGGAAATATGGTGACCCTTCAGGGAGAGCTAAGTCCAAGTGTTTTCTTGTTAAGAAGGGATCGAAGGGAGCACGGGAGGACCTGGGCACACTGCAGACTCTGAGGCAGCCTTTGGGACCTGGGGCTGGTCATGGAAGAGGTCAGAATGGGATGCCTCCTTGGTGTGGTCTGTAATCAACCGAGGGTCAGTCTACAAGGGTTAGAAGGAGGCTTCTCCGACAGTTCTCCCTTGTCACTGGTGACTCATTATTGGGGGACTGGAGTCTTTAGTTTATAAAACTTTGAGAAAGTAGCTTTTCTGGGATAGAATAGAAGGAAATGGTTTATCTCTTGTAAAACATTGAATTTGTTATGAAAAAGCCTTGGTTCAATTCCTGGCTTTGGCAATGATCATGGTGTTGCATCACTGGGTCCGGCACATCATCAGGCTGACCTCACTCTTTGTAACACAAAATTCAAAGATGGGGCCATTGATCTTTAGGCTCCTGTTCAGCTTTAAACGCAGGCATTTTCACCCTGAGATGTTGAGAAAAGTGCTTCCTCATTCAGCCCTTTATCTTTGAAATGGGGATAATAACGTTTGTTCTTTATTAATATAAGTACAAGTACTTTAAAGCTATGAATTAACACTGTTCCATCCGTTTGATCACTCCGTCTTACTGGCAGGGGATGAATCTTGAATTCTAAAGAGCTGTTTTTCCTGAGATCGTGATAAAGGTAGTTCTAAGGTGACTCCTCTGTGTGTACCTATGTCCATAACTCCTCTATGATATTAAATATCCAACAGGACTGTGAGATCTGAATTCTTTTTCTATTCGAATTATTTTTTAAGGGAGAAGGGCAATCTGTGAGTATGAAACACCCAAGTTAATTATGAAACTTAGAGAGCAATTACCAGAGATAAGTTTATGAGCACGGAAAACTGCTAACCTGCTATAACCTTCACACTGTACCTTAATTATGGACAATTATGGTTTTAAACTTCAGCCTTTACCTGTGATTCTTACTTGTTCTGATCTATAGACCATGTAGTAAGGCATTTGCTTCATGTTCGACTTACTGGGAGTGGGCATGGATTTTATCTAGAATAGACATTTGGTTTTTCCCAACCGAGTGCCTGTTGAGAGTTTTAGCAGAGTTGTTCCCTGGTGTTCCTTGACAATGTGTTCTTTTCTCTGCACGCCTGACCACATCCTCGGTCAAGGCCATCATGGGACAACCACAGGCACACACTCCTTCAGAACCCAGGACCAGGCTCAAGTCAGGCCATTCCTTGCCACCATCTATGCCAGGAATCAATATTCAATACTAGATGGATGTTTGTTTTTGTAGGAAAATTGTGAAAGCGGATTTCACAATGCGGCGGAGAAAGGGAACCTCCATGGACAATAGCTGAGTGAGAGATGAGGAGAATCAGTGCTATGTCTACACTGCTTCAGCAACTTTAAGGGTGTTCATCTCCATTAGCCAACACATTTTTGTCTTACTTAAGCCACTATGTGTTGTGTTTTTGCTCATTTGAAGCCTACAAAGTCTTAACAAAGCACATATAGATAAAAGTCCTGGAAAGGCTTTTGTTTGTTTTTGTTTGCTTCAGTGTTTTTCTGAGATGCTTACAACCTAATTCAAACCATTTACTAATCTTCTTATGCTTAGTGAGAAAAAAAAAATTCCATAAAGCATTTCACGATTTCATCAGTCACTGGGGTAATGAATAAAAAGCTACACAATAATTTCCTTAAACGGGTGTCCATATTTGTATTCATATTCACATGACAATTCTGTAAGTCTAAGCAGTGAGTTGTTTAATAAAAGAGACCACATACAAACAATATATCGTTTGTACTCAAAAGATACAGGAAAGGGAACTTCACAAAATAAATAAAATAATAATGCATTGTTTTTGGTGGGGACTCTAATCTCACAGGGTCCTTTTCTGAGCTTTGCCTCTCAATGAGTCATGTGAATGACAATTTGTCCTCAGCCTCTATACCAGGTAGTGAGATACTTAAATGCAGGGAAATTAAGGACTGTTGACACCTAGATATTAATTAAAGTGCTCACAATGATGTGGCTAGATTAAAATAAGACACGATCCCCTTGAAATGGTCCATGTTCTTTTCACAACACTGAAAAACAGTTTGTGGGGAAGAGTTCAAAAGCTAAGCTGAAATTCAACTATCCTCGGAGACCTTGCTTATGAGGAAATAAATACTTACGCTATAAAGGGCCAAAATGGAAAATACATTGACTGACAAATCTGTATCCTAGCCACAGTAAAGAGGAATTAAGGAAGAGATTGCAACGCATGCAAATGACAACATGAGCTGTTTGTTTCCTCAGTAGACTCCACAAACACCACATCTCCCCAAGTCTTGCCTATTTTAATTAACCAAGGGTCAATGTATAGTAGCTATTGAATTAACTGTCTTTCCTTTGAGGTTGCTAGGAGTTTTGAAACATTTATTTCATCACATCCTGAATTGGCCAACGAGGACCAGTTTAATGACATGCCAGCTCTTTCGTGGCTGTGATAATGTGTTTTGTCCTCTTTGATAACGTCAGGTATCTATCATGGTAAAGGGAACAGGCAGTGCAATTTCTTGGGAGGAAATCTGGAATTAACTCTTAGATTACTTAATGGTATATTGTGACAGCATTTAAAAATTGAGTGTTGTATAAAGGCTGGTATACCAAGAAAATTCTATTTTAAGCTAGTTTTTTTTTTTTTTTTTTTAACTAGATGAAGACTTTCACATATGTTCCCACTGGCATTGTAACACAATTACATTTCAAAGAAATTCATGACATAATTTTACTTCAGTCAGGTATCCTTGCTAATAAAAAAGAGGGTGAAATTGTCCTGTCATCATTAAGATAGCAATCAAATTGCTATCCATGCAAATACATTTAATTGTATAACCTTTAATATCTGCTAAGATATCATATGATCTGTTATACTGCAAGTAAATTTGATTTTGCAATGATGTGAAGTAAATAAACAGTCTAGGAGATTTAAGGAGGTGATATTTTCCCTAGGGGCCTGTAAAAGAACTATTTTAATTAAGTCTATAAGCATGGTATTTAGTAATGTCGTATCTTTTGGACTTTTATGTGCATTAAAAGAAGGGCTGGCGTGAATATGAAGACTGATCCATCTACTCTAATATAACACAACGTAGGAGTCTATAACACAATTTAACAAGAATTTTAAGATATTTTAAAAAGAAATTCTTCAAACTGCCTTTATGCAATAATGAACATATTATGTTAATTATACAAAATTATTTAAGTGGCTTAAAAGCCCTGTACTTTCCAATATTCAACTATTCACTCCTCCTATACCAAATGGTCCATGGTCCATTTCTGGAGGTATGAGGGATCAAGAAGCAACAGAAAATGATCTCACTCTATTAATGTCTTCTGTTACTGAAAAACTTAAAGTATGTCTTCTTGAAAGCTTCGAAGTTTATGTTTTCTATCAGACAAGAGAAAAAGAAGAGAAAGTGATCGCTTTTCCTTTTTGCTACTCTTCTTACTTGTTAAGTCTGTTGCTTCTGGAGTCTTTTCTGAGAAATGTAAGACCCTGAAATATGTGATTCTTACCTAAGTAAAAGGAGAACCGTTCAACAGATTAATGCAACAGATTAAAAACTGTCTTTAAAATAAAGCTGATGCTTATTATTCTGCAAAATGTGTTTCAAATTCCCTGAAGGAAGAGCTTGAGATCAGAACCCATGTTCTTTGCAATAACGTACCAGCTCAGCCCCAGATTCTGGTACCCCCAGCGTGGAAGTCAAGATGCAAACTGCAAGACACTTTCAACATGTTTCCCAGCTCATCAGCTCGTCTGCATTCTGAATAGAAATGCGATCTTGCTTATACTTAGTTCTGAAATTCTGTATCTGAATCTTGAGTCATTTGTTCTTTCTACTCAGTTCCTGCAAACCAGAGCCAGTTATCTGACCAAGGACATCTTTGACTCTAGATGGCTTTACCTCTTATACATTATACTATATCAGGGAGTAAACTTAAAAACAAACACCTGTCATCTCTAGAGCATGACAGAATTGTCATGAAATAATGATTTGCACACTCCATAGCTTTCAACTGTGGCCGAATTCATCCTCCCTTCCGTGACGCCATTTGGCACTACCTGGAGACGCCTGTGGTTGTGATATCAGGGTGGATACCACTTGCACCTAGTGGTAAGGCCATGGGTGCTGCTGGACATCCCACAGCACACAGAACGGCCTCCCAAACAAAGAGCTATCCAACCTCAAATGTGAATAGTGCTGAGATGGAGACATTAGCTTAGCCCTCTGGTGATCGCTGATTCTGAAGTAGAAATCTTAACTTAGGTATGAATCCACAACTTGCATTTCCAATGGACTATTCTGCCACGATTTTCTATTTATTCGTCACGGTGTGATTATTTCAAGCCAACTCCAGTACCATGAAGAAGCGGACTCCTTCATACTAGACACACCCACTTGTGTTAATTATTTAAAGTCATGGTGAAAATAAATGACTTTAAAAACCGACACTCTCATTACTTCTGAAGTCAGCCATCCCAAAAAAATGATCTTTGAAAGACAATCATCTGCATAATAATTACTAAATTACAATAGTTACATAGAGACTAAACTAAGCAATGGTAGAAGAGGCACATGAAGATGTTTGGGAAAAAGATTAAATGTCCCCTGATATTTGAGCTGTACATTTTTTCAGAAAATAATTAGACATGGGATATTTTGCTTAGTATTTCTCCCAGATATAGGGTGAGAAGCTGTTAAGTTTCTATAGTCCCAGGTCAACATAGTTTCTTTCTTTGCTCTCCTTTTATGGGAACATAGAGTACCCATATGATTTGGGTAAAGTGTCTGAGGATGTGTCATTGATAACAGAAGAAAGAATAACCAATGGTGTTGAGTATTAGTTCACTTCTGAACAAATCATGCATTTTCGGAACACATCAGGAGTTAGAGAACTGTGTTAAAACTTACAGATGAAATTAAATCTGGAATGAATTGAGATTAATTATATTGATAGTATAATACACTGACAGATATTGTGCCAGTCCCTCAGGTTTCTGTGTAAATATAAAAGTTAAACTCAAAAATATGTGTAAGACTATGTTTAAACAAGATATCAAACAAAATAAAAGAAAAAACTGTGCTTTTGAAAAAATACTGCTTTGAAATTACATAAAAATTAATATGACTTAAAAATGTCTATCACTGCTAGACTTTCTTTTTTTTTTTTTTTAACAAATAAACAACCTAGACAATATCCTCCCAGTCTCTTATCAATGATGGTGACTTTTTCATACTCTGAATTCTTTGGACTTGGAGATTCTCATGTACATAACATGGAAAGTCATAAAACCACATTGTTCATTTGATCTATAGTAGTGAGCTAGTGAACGGGCCTAGAAAGTCTAAATTCTAGCCTTTGAATCCCAGCATGTGGCAGAGAAACTAGAGCCAGTGATGCTCCAGACTTGTTACACTAAATTATCATCAAGAGTAAATAGAAAGAGGAAAAAGAACAAATAATTCACTGGACTAGAAATCTCATTTATTCCTCCAATAGGTTTACTTGATGAAAGCATTACAACATCAAACTTAAAAATGGCAGTAAGATATTGTCTGTGTTATTAGGTCCCCGTGGGTTGGTTCTGATGATGACAATACTTGCCTTCCTGACAAACCTGCCTTCACCTTTAGGTCTCTATCTCATTAACACAACAATCGCAGGCTCAGTCTCAAAGAAAACAAGATTGGATAAAAACCTTCCCTCTGTGCTCTCTGCATCTGGGAGAATCACGACTTTTCAGACAGAAGGGCACGTGTTATATTCGATCCTGGTTACGGTGCATTCATTTTCTCCACATTAAACTAGCCAGTTGTTCCTCATTCTCTGCAGTTTCCCTTGCTGTGTTTTCAGCTACCCACAGTCAACCACTGTCAGAAAATAAGTGAGCACAGCAGGAAAAGATATTCTGAGAGCAAGATGGAGAAGCAGACCACATTCACATAACTTTTATTATTGTATATAGTTATCATTGTTCTATTCCGTTAGTAGCTGTTATGAATCTCTCGCTGTGCCTAATTTATAAATTAAACTTCCTCATAGATGTTTATGTATAGTTAATAAGTACAAATATACAGGTTAATGGAAGAAACAAGACCTAGTATTTAATAGATTAGTAGGGTGACTGCAGTTCACAATAATGTACCAAACAGAAGAGAATAATTTGGATGTTTCTAACATAAAGGAAAAACAAATATTTAAGATGGATATCTCAATTACACTGATTTTACCTTTACAAATCATGGGAATGTATTTAATTATGACCAGAACCTTGAAAATATGCATACCTAATGTGTGTCAATAATTTTTTTAAAATATGGTATACTGTATATAGGGTTTGGTACTATTTGTGGTTTCAGGTGTCTACTAGGGGTTTGGAACATATTTCTCAGGGGTAAGGGGGCACTATATATTTCACTTTCCACACCTCATAAATTCTATATGGTCCTCCCTATTCTACTATTCTAGGCAGCGAATCAAGAGAAAGATAAACCAACAAATAAATGATTAAACAGGTTCGAACAATGCTTCTCATTGTGTTGTAAAGAAAAAACAATTTTAGGAGATGACAAGAGAGAAAGAAACAGGGTGAAGGAAGATAATCTGTTGAGATGAGGTCTCTGGGAAAGAGAAATGAAGATCTTATAGAGAGAGCTCTTCATGATGAAGGGACATGTGTTCCTCGAGTAGAAAGAGACGACCCCTCCCCCTCCCCAATGAAAATGGTCAATTGTCCACTCTGGAAAGGATCTCCAAATCCAAAGTGGTCATATCTTCTTCTTCTTTTTTTTTTTTTTTTTTTTTTTTTTTTTTTTTTTTTTTTTTTTTTGAGATGGAGTCTCGCTGTGTCACCCAGGCTGGAGTACAGTGGCGGGATCTTGGCTCACTGCAACGTCCTCCTACCAGGTTCAAGTTATTCTTCTGCCTCAACCTCCCAAGTAGCTGGGACTATAGGCGTGCGCCAACATTCCCAGCTCATTTTTGTGTTTTTAGTAGAGACGGGGTTTCACCTCGTTAGCGAGGATGGTCTCAATCTCCTGACCTTGTGATCCACCCACCTCAGCCTCCCAAAGCGCAGGGATTGCAGGCATGAGCCACTGCGCCTGGCCATCTTCTTTATTTAGAGTCACAGAATATTTACGGGCAATATTCATCTGGCATTTTAGGAAAACACTCCCATGTTAAAAACTTAAAGCTCTTCTTTAATGGAACTTTCCACTTCTCTACTCTCAGAAGGTATGCTGAGTTTCAGAATAAAGAGCTAAGGAGAAATAACTTCCAGAAACAGAGGTCTTCCAAAAGCCCCAATGCAGACCAAAGTCAGGAATGTTTAATAAGCACGTGCATCTGGCCACACCAAGTCCAGCTTTCCCAGAGTCCAGAGCATACCCTTCACGGCTTCACACTAAGGACATTCTTGCTAAGATGCAGATTCAGCCCTGTTAACTACCAGACAAAAACCTGGTATTAGCTAAGTGGATTCTTTTGGTATCTTTGGTATACTTACTTGTATTTTAAGAAAAAGCCCATTTTTACTTTATTTTAAAACCTTCCAACCCCAAACCACGACTCTCGTTCTATTCGGCTTGGAGCAGGCATGGAGGTCCGGGCTCAGCCAGCCTGGCACCATGTTATTCCCTGAGAGCCCAGGACCCAAAGAGAGTTTCAGCTAAGGGTAGTGCCTCCTCTGACACTCATAGGATGCCAACTGCACACTCCCCACAGCTGCTCCTCCATGAAAACGCAGAGCCCACCCCAAGATGCAGCCCCTGGGTCCGTGCAGCACAGGTGCTTCACCCTCTCTATTCAGAGCCACAGGGTGTAGTGGGAGAGAAGAACATACACATGTTCCAAAGAAACTCCCTCATGTGAGAGAGCTAAACCCCTTCCTAAGGTCTCCAAATGTTTACTCTTGGAGGGAAATCTGAGTTTCAGAAAACAGCACCAAACAATTATTAACTAATTAACTCCTCATGGATCAGCTATCCAGTGAGCTCAATGCATGTGCTAAATGCTTTCTTAGGCATGAGAGATACAACTGCAGATTAGACCAGGGTAGGCTTACCCCAAGAAGACAGGAGACTAGCCAGCATGAAGACGTGAAGGAGGTGCAAGAATGAGAAGTGCTAGAAAAGGGAGAAACAGGGTCCCATGGGTCCCCACAGCAAGGGATGCCCGGCATCGTCTGATGACAGCAATGATGACCTTCTGAAGAAACGGCAGTCAACAAAGGAAGGGAGATGGAAAACACAACCAGAGGAATTTGATCAAGATAGACAGATGGTGTTAAAACACACCTGGCATAACCCCAAAACACCCGACCTACGTCCCTCTTTCCCTTTGAGTCGCTGTTTAACTACTGTGAATGACAAGATCCCTTGCATGATTTAACAGCCTTGCTCACACTTCCTTCCTGCAAACTTGAAAGCAAGACCACCGCACATGCCCACACTCACTCACACTCACACCCTTCTTCTAAGGGGTTTGGTAGTTGACAAACTTCAAAAGAGAGGGGAAAAGCTGACATCAATGATTTATCACTCTCTTTTGACATCCAGATTGACGGTAAAACATTTCCTGTTTGTAGGAAAATGGCACAGCTTCATAGCTTAAGGCAGAGTAGAGAGAAAAGTGTAGGAGGAGATGGGGGAAAGATTTGCTGGTCTAGCAGGCGGAAAGGAATCTGACATCAGAGGATGAGTCTGCCCACAGTGAAACTCAATGTCTCCCAGGCTAACACTATGGACAACCCTCTTTGGGCTGTGTAGTCAAACACCTCTGCTTCATACCTTTCAGTTATAAGGAACTTCTCACCTCATGAATAAGTCACAGGAAGCTATGAAGAGATGAGAGAGTGACAGGTAGGAGATTCATGTCATTTCATTTTATCATTATAGCTACCCTCTTTGTTTTGCTCCAGAAAGTCAAGTTTACATTAATATTTTATCAACAAGGTAAAGAAAGTTGGAAGCTAGAAGTGCTTCCAACTTCACCTTCAATCGTCGGTGGCACTGCTCTTTCTATTCTCCAAGAATGCTGGAGCTCAAAAGCGAAGGTGATTTCTACACACACACACACACACACACACACACGTATGTATATAAACGCCAACATGCGTAACATATATATGCTGAGACAGGATCTCACTTTGTTGCCCAGGCTGGAGTACAGTGGAGCAATCATGACTCACTGCGGCCTTGGCCTACTGGGGGTCTTAGGTGATCCTCCAATCTCAGCCTCCTGGGGAACTGGGACCACAGGCACATGTGGTACCATGATCAGCTAATTTTTAAAAATTATATAGAGATGTAAGCAATCCTTTTGCCTGGCCTCCCAAAGTACTGAGATTACAGGCGTGACCCATCGCACCTGGCCTGAAAGTGATTTTGCAAGGGGTAAACTAAATCAAGCAGGGATCCAGAGTGCTATAATAGAGGCAGACTGGACAAGACACGCCACAGCTTCGCCTCTCCCTTGAATAATTCATCGTTTCCCGAATTGCTGTCCCCAGACTTGAATCCCTTCAGCGTACTTTCCACTTGAACATCACAGTCATCTTCACAGATAGAAAAATCTCATTCGAGTACATTTCCACTTAAGACGCTCAGTGATTCTGCATTTTCTTCAGGGACAGATGCACTGCTTGAATGCAGTATGATCTTGACCCTGGTCAGTTTAATTTGAATGCCTTGCACAAAGTGCTCTCCAAAGTGCTGGGTGCTATATATAAACCATGTTTGTTGAGGTCAGGGGTCAGCCATATAGACACACTTCCCAGACCATGTGGCAAATGGGAAGGTAGAAATATGTGTAGGATATGTGAGCTCAGAAGAGGACACAGTAGTCTAAGATGAATTCCTCTTAGATATATGGTGTTTGAACTGGGATATATGGTGTTTGAACTGAGTACCAAAGAAGGACTAAAAGTGAGTCATATACATTAGCTTAGGCCTACACAGGGTCAGGACAATCAATATCACTGTCTTCCAACTTGATACCTTGTCCCACTGGAAGTTTGTCAGGGTCAACAGCACACGTGAAGCTGACATCTCCTATGGTAACAATGCCTTTTTCTTCCATTTGTCGTTGTTGTGTTTTTGTTTTTGTTGTTGTTTGTTTGTTTTGAGATGGAGTCTTGCTCTCTTGTCCAAGTTGGAGCGTAGTGGCGTAATCTCGGCTCAGTGCAAACTCTGCCTCCCAGGTTTGAGCTATTCTCTTGCCTTAGCCTCCTGAGTAGCTGGGACTACAGGCATGCGCCACCGTGCCTGGCAAATTGTTGTATTTTTTGTTTTGTTTTAGTGATGGGGTTTCGCCATGTTGGCCAGGCTGATCTCCAATTCCTGACCTCAGGTGATCTGCTGACCTCGACCTCCCAAAGTGCTGGGATTATAGGTCACAATGCCTTCTTCGGAATACCTCCTTAAGGACCTGCCTGAGGGTGTTCTATCTTTTTTTTAATTTTTTGAGCCGGAGTTTTGCTTTTGCTGCCCAAGCTGGAGTGCAATGGTGCAAACTCGGTTCACTGCAACCTCCACATCCCGGGTTCAAGCGATTCTCCCGCCTCAGCCTCCCCAGTAGCTGGGATTACAGGTGTGTGCCACCACACCTGGTTACTTTTTTGTATTTTTAGTAGAAATGGAGTTTCACCATGTAAGCCAGGCTGGTCTCGAACTCCTGACCTCAGGTGATCCACCCGCCTCGGCCTCCCAAACTGTGGGGATTACAGGTGTGAACCACCGTACCCAGCTCTAGGTTAACTTTTTTAAAAGTAGAATGAGTACACACTAAAATAACAATCAAAAGTATAGGAAATACATTAACCAGCAACACAGTCATTATTATTCTCAAGTATTATGCACTGTACATAAGTAGATGCATGAGACCCGTCTAAGACTGGCAGCGCAGGTTTGCATATGGCACCATCACCACACACACGCGCATGTGGATTATGCATTCTGCTATGACGCATAATTATATGGCTACAATGCCACTAAGTGTAGGACATTTTTGGCTCCATTAAAGTCTACCAGGAGCTGGGTGCGGTGGCTCACGCCTGTAATCCCAGCACTTTGAAAGGCCGAGGAGGGCGGATCACTGAGGTCAAGAGTACGAGACCAGCCTGGCCAACACAGTGAAACCCTGTCTCTACTAATAATACAAAAATTAGCCGGGCATGGTGGCACATGCCTGTAATCCCAACTACTCAGGAGGCTGAGGCAAGAGAACTGCTTGAACCCAGGAGCGGGAGGTTGCAGTGAGTTGAAATCGCACCACTGCACTCCAGCCTGGGTGACAGAGTGAGACTCTGTCTCAAAAAAACAAACAAGCAAACAAACAAACAAACAAAAAGTTTAATGGGAGAAACAAAGTTAGTCATGGCAAGGAATATGGGAAAGTCACACGGAGAAGGTAAAAACCATGAACTGTGCTTCCAGAAGCTGGATGCGATGAAGACAACATGGAGAGGTTTTCCTACATTTCCAGGCCCTTCTCTCATGTTTCCCTTCACATTCTTTGCTCTGGTTGTAATACAACTTCTGCATCACAGTTCCTCAGAACACCATGCGGTCTGACATCTCTGCCTTTTGACCTATGCTGTTAACTCTTCCTGAAATGTCCTATGTTTTGTCTCCGATTTTTCTGGACAATTTTTTTTCTTTAAGAGCAAAGACGGAACTTCTCCTTTCTGAGCCAACCCTTGAATCGTTTAAGCACTGCTAGTCACTTCATTCCTTGACTAGACACTCTGCCATGTGCCTGCTTCCATCACTTAACCTCTGGACGCATCCCTTAAAGAGACATTTACCCTTGTAAGAGCTTGTGTCTAGGGGGAAGAACAGGTGTTTTAAATATCCCTGAAATCTTGACATCAAGTACTTTAAAAGTCGTTGAACTGTATCTATGAAGCAAGCAGTAAAAAAGAGTCTGAAACCTTGGGCATTTTTTAGGTTGAATATCTAGAAAAAGAACAATGCCACAAAGAACAATAGGTATTCCTAACTGTAATTTCAGGATAGACAAGAGCTGCTAGGTACTCATGCACAGCAAAGTTAATTAATGTCTTCCCCGACAGGCAATTCTTTGCTTCCGCCTCTATCACTTCATGGGTTTATTGGTAACTTTTTTCTCTGGGCACCACCTTCTGTCACCCGCTACCTCTACTTGCTTTATTACATTCCGTCTTCATTTATGTCTTCTCAGCTTCACAGTCACGGCAATGACTTCCTCCTGGGCAGGTGACACCCTAAAGTCCTTTGGGTTTTGTTTGGCACCAAAGTGGAAATACAGGTTTGTTGAGAATAAAGAGAGGATGGATAGTTGATTTGTGGAACAGAACTTTGGGCTTATTTTTTTTTTAGTAGGCACATAAAATGAGCTATGCATGTGGTATTTAGAATTTAGTGTGTCTAAATGAGAACCAGAGTAACTCACTGTGCAGAGCTAAGTAAAGACTGTTTGGTATTCTATCCCTGGGCTAAGAAAAGTTGAATCAACTTTTTTAGTATATTGCCCAGGTTCCCTTTGGTTACGAAGGCTGAGTCAGCTGAAAACATAATTCGGCATCAGTAGTTTATGATTTCTATGGTTCCGGAAGAGATTTCAAGAGGAATAAATTACCTGGGATCTCATGGCCCTTTCATACAAATGATTCTCATCCCAAAGGTATAAACTGTGGCTTGTGTCTTCATATCTTCTTTATCTTTACCACATCAGAGAACTCACAGTTTGCAATATTGGTGGGTTATTAGTTTAGGTCAAAAATAAATAAAATAGCTGAGAACTTCAAAGTAATTCAGTTTTGCCAGATAATGTCTGGAATCGCTTCCTCCTGCAAACCATCTTCTGGGTGCATGTGTAACAGGGACCCAGTACTCTCATTTTTAATCCCGGTTGCATTATTTAAAGGAAAGTTAAATACTGTTAGATTTCAAGGCAAGGGATGATATTTCTTATGCAAAATTTAGGAAAGGAAGTATAAAACGTTTGCAATTTTTATGCAACGAATGTATTTTTGAACCATTTAGCTTATGCTTGAATCAAATAACATTTTGTTATAAAAATAAAGTATAACTTAATAAAATAAAAAATTTACAATTATAATGCAATGGATACATGTTTGAACCATTCAACTTATGCTTGAATCAAATAACATTTTTATAAAAATAATGTATAACAATAAAAATACAAAATCATTTACACGTTTTATGCAATGGATATATGTTTGAACCATTTAACTTACGCTTGAATCAAATAACCTTTTTAACACAAAGTAAACTTATATGTTTTTCTCTAAAATACTTTTGTCAGTCTTGGTCAGTTTAACATAAATATGTTAAAAATGACTTGATCATAAAGATGGTAATTTAAAAAATTTTTAAATTAACTTAATTTAAATACTTTTCTGATCCTCAGTTTCATTGTAACGATTAAATATTCATTTTTAATTCTACCTTTACATCTCTGGTAATTTTATACAAACAGATCAAATAATTTAGTTTTCAAATAGTTCTGAAACCTAATAATGTTTTTGCTTCCAGTCTCTGTGCCTGAATATTCCCTCTGCCCAAAAGTCTGATATTTCATTCTTCATCCTGGTGATTTGTAGAAAACAAAAATGTCACAGTGAAATTAGTCTCCTCATGCTATGTCGGAAGAAATATCTCATTCACCAGCCGAGTCAAACATTCCAATGGAAATATCTATAGCTTTGGAGATGATGACTAATTTATCCTGACAGAGTTGTTGATTTATCTGAGAAAGAAATTCCAAAAAAACAAAAACCAAAAAAAAAAAACTGCTGACTCTTTCACTTAATTCGATGTTAACAAACGGGCACAACAGCCTAGGAATACTGAGAGGTTGCCAGATACTATGTGCAAAGTTTGTCAAATGACGGCGATTTCCCTCCCAAAGCTCAGAGTGGCAAAGCTCCCAATGGGAAAGATGAATAGACATTACAATCCTGTGTAACTTTTCATTCTGCACCTCTGTCCCCTAAGTGCCGTACCTCATACATTATCCACTAGCCATAAGCAGCCACGACACACTTAAAGCGTGATGAGTCTGAATTAACATGCACTGCAAGGGCAAAATACGGAATGCATTTCTGTGACTTCACAGGAAAAACATACGGTAAGATATTTTATTAATGTTTTTCTACTGATTACATGCTGAAATAGCATTTGTTATATATTGAGTTAATGATGTATATTAATATTAATTTTACCTGTATCTTTTTACTCCTTTTAATTTGGCTACTAGAGAATTAAAATGAGATGTGGCTCACATTGGTGGCTCACAATATATTGGACAGCAGAGTTCTAAGGTCTAAACTGATGGATGAGCAAATTGAAAAAAGGATTTCAATAAAATGACACAGGGTTTCAATTAAAACCTGACACAGGCTTTAATAAAATGAGAATTGTAAAGATTTCAGCCCTGTTAATTAGCACCATAAAAACCGCAACAATGATTAATCTGATTTTTTAACTGTTGTTTAATAATAAACACATATTTTTAAAATTTTTAAATATGAAATGTGGCAGGAAATGCTAGCACTTTTTCATATTTAGGGAGACTTCGCTGTGATGAGGGCTTCTAGGTATGTGTGCTTTATTTCTTCAGGCCAGGCATTTTCGAGGAAAATGATTTGAAAGGAAGCACAGGGGAGATTTCTCATTCTCTTTCCCAGAAGCTGTAGGTGAGGGTTTAGCGTGCTGATTCCCTGAAGGAGTCATAAAATAAGTGAATCCAAAGTCCCATCAAGAGCCCTTGAGAGGCCGGGTGTGGTGGCTCACGCCTGTAATCTCAGCACTTTGGGAGACCGCGACAGGTGGATCGCTGGATGTCAGGAGCTCGAGACCAGCTTGGCCAACATGGTGAAACCTTGTCTGTAGTAAAAATACAAAATTAGCCAGGGGTGGTGGTAGGCACCTGTAATCCCAGGTACTTGGGAGGCTGAGGCAGTAGAATCGCTTGAACCTGGGAAGTGGAAGTTGCAGTGAGCCAAGATAAACAAATAAACAAAAAGCCCTTGAGAAGAAAACTCTGCAATGGGATGCAGGGGCAGGTTCAGGGGTGTGGGGCTGAGGGTGGTGTTTGATTACCTAGAAGAGTGGGGGAAGGGATTAATAGAAGAGTACAGTTGGTTCTTAGGAAATAAAAGACAACAGCCAAATGCGACTGAGGCCAAGTTTTACTCTCTAGGCTCAAGAGCTCCCTCAAAGACATAGTAGCTAGCTAAGGAAAATTTCCACTGAAGCAACAAGGAGGCGATTGGGGCCACATGAACTGTGGAAATGTAGAATATATTCAGGCTTAGTCCAGATGATATGGAATTGAAAGGCTTTAAATCCCATTTAAATATGAAATAGACATATAGAGACGCATTGTACACTAGGGCAAGATCAGAAACCAAGGTATCATGACAAAATCAGACATGCAGGTAAGAATTCATTTTGATAAATTCCAACTTAAGATTAAATGCATCGTTTTAACTTGGCTTTCAGCAGGATCGTATTCTTTATCACTTTATTCACTTGCCTTTTTCAAAGGCCAACGTGTTGTCTTTCAAATGGAGGCCCACATAGACATCTTTTGTAACACCCAAGCTATACACAACTATGCTTCTGTAACAATAAACCGGCCGTCAGCAGGGAACTCACACTGCGAATGAATACATCAAAGTGACGAGGCTTTGACTGAGTTGAAAGCCCTGTGGAGGCCTTCACGGTGGAGCTGGACACAGTTGCTAGAAAGATGAAGTGATGCATCTGGTCAGCCCAGGCACGGGTCACCCAAAAATACCACCCAGGGTAATGAAGGAGGTTGAGATTGTCTTAACTGGGGGCTTGAAATGAGCTAAAAGAATGTTTGGGTTTGAAAATTGCCTCTGATGCAAATTCTGGGAGAGTTCCCAAGACAACTGATCATGAGACACGAGTTATTAGGGAGACCGCTCTTCTGGGCTTCCCTTGCTCCCGGCCTACAGCAGCACCTTTACATCTCCTAGGCAGGGGGACCATGAAAGCTCTTCTAGAACCACATTTTCAGATGTTCTGTCTTCCAAGTCCCGGCTGATATGAGCGCCTCTCTCTGGGTTGAGATTAACCACTGGCCCAGCCCAGCTTTCCTCTCAGTCCCGTTCTGCTGAGTATTACATCTGGATTCTCTGTTTATCTGCAGCTCGGGCATGGGTTTTGAGGAACCAACTCTGACTTGGTCCTTGATAATTTCTTTATTTTCAAAGAAAGAGTTTGTACTGAATATCCCTAGGAGGACTCACTTATAAGCATTGAACATATTTTTATTTATTTTTAATTTTAATATTTTTTTGAGACAGGGTCTCACTCTGTCATCTAGGCTGCAGTGTAGTGGTGTGATCATAGCTCACTGCAGCATCGGCCTCCTGAGTTCAACCCATTCTCCCACCTCAGCCTCTTGAGTAGCTGAAACTACAGGCATGTGCCTAGCTATTTTTTTAAATATAATTTATAGAGACAGAGTGTTGCTATGTTGCCCAAGCTGGTCTTGAACTCCTGATATGAAGTGATCCTCCCATCTTGGCCTTTTGAAGTGTTGACATTATAGGCATGAGCCACCAAGCCAGCCTAGAAACAATATCTTCTCTATTTTAGATGTAAAAACCGTAAAAGAAAAACCCTACATGTGCTCACACAGTTTAGAACCTTAATGTACTTATGTTCTTGAGGTATTACATATTCTCCCAAAGAGTAGGGACAAACTTGTCTTTCATACCGACTTTTTCATCAATAGCTAAAATAAAGCACACATATCCTTGCAATGTTACATTTGAACCACATGTGGTTAGAGTCAAAGGCTCTATATAAAAGAATTAAACAAAATTAATAACTATAGACAACAATTTAAAAGACATTCTGTTTCAGTACCACCTGTACTTAGATATCAAATACCTATATAGTTGGAAAAATAAACACATCTTATTAAGCAAATATTTTAATAGTGCAAAACCTGTGTGGTCTTTCACGACGTGGTTTTTAACTTGTAATTCCTCTGTGACATCTAGGTTTCCCCAAGGCACTGTCATATTCCTGAAATGTTTTCTGCTAGATCAAAGCCCAAGACAAAATTTCAAATTACATCAATGAAATGAACTATTCATATGGAACTAATCTTTCTATAAAAACCTCTTCGAATAAAACATGATTTTTGAAAGTCAGATAAACCCAATTTATTGACTTCATTGTGAGTTTTGTCAGGATTTATTCCATCCACCTCATTGTACTTCTTCACTATACGATAATGAATAGTTGATTGGGAAAAGACTATCCTATAAATTATTGCCAGTTACACAAATATGACACTGTAAAAGTCGGTCCACTAATAACTCACAGTGCATGTCACAGAAGAGCACTTCTGATGAAGTTTCATCCCCATGGGCTCACTCAAAGGAAACAATATAGTAAGCACTATTTAAAAGAGAAAATAAAGTATCTATCCTGACATTGCTAACCAAATAGCCATCTTAACATAAACAGAAACAACCTCATGCATGGCAAGACTTTACAATTATATGGATTTGTGTGTGATATACTCCACTTCAATGAGCAAAAAGTTATGCCACACAGAGCTTAATTACATCCTATACAGCATGTTAATAGCCCATATGGCAGAACCTGGGAACATCCTAATTGAAAGTCACTTAACATTTACAAAGGCAATCCAAGTTTAACCAGTATGCAATCCTTGATATTCCTGGCTAGAAAAGACACTCTTATTATCATGAAAAATAAATGACAACGTTATGTAAGATCTGATGGCTCTTCCGAACATGCTTATTTTCAGTTTGGAACACCTGTCTCAGCTTTCACTTAAGTATAATGAATCTATAATTAAGAATCTGTTAGGATTTTCATAGAATATTTAGTTTTGAGGAAACTGCGTTACCATATTGTCATATTGCAACAGCCTCTGACTTGGAATACAAAAAGAATAAAATATATAAAAACCCATGTGAATACAGAAAATCACTTGATCTTTATCAGTGTTTCCCAAACACTAGTTATCTATAATTCCTCTCCTTTTTCCACCTTCTTGTGTCTTACAGAACTTGTCGTATTGACTCTCTCTGCAAAGCATTCGACAATTTTCTTCCATTTCTTCCTGTCCCAATCCCAGTCATCGTCACACCTATTTTAATCCAAGCCATCGTCATCTTTCTACGGACCTCTTTTCAGGTTGCTTATTGGCCTCCCTAGTTTGGAGCCTTTCTGCAAGCCTCACCAGAGAGACCTTACTAAACATCAGTGAGGTCCTGTCACTTCCTCCCAAGCATCCTTCCACTGCACCTCAAGTTACAGCCTCATGCCTCACTCTTGATTGCAAAACTCCACGAGATTTTGTCTTATCTCTAGCCCCGTCTCACATCACCAACCCCATGTTCACTGTAGTGGCCTTCAGCTCACCCATTACTTCTGCACACTGGTCTTCTTTCTGTTTCTTACATATGGCAACACAGTTCCTTAGGGTTTTTACCCCAGCTGTTTCCTCTGTCTACAATCACCTTTCTTTTTTTTTAAAAAAATGTATTTTTCCGTAAGTTACTGGGGTATAGGTGGTATTTGTTTACATGAGCAAGTTCTTTAGTGGAGTTTTATGAGAACCTGGTGCACCCATCACCCAAGCAGTGTACACTGCACTCTATTTGTTGTCTTTTATCCCTCGCCCTCCTTTCACTTTTCCCCCAAGTCCTCAAAGTCCATTGTATCCTTCTTATGCCTTTGCATCCTCATAGCTTAGCTCCCACATATGAGTGAGAAAATACGATGTTTGGTTTTCCATTCCTGAGCTACTTCACTTATTCTACAATCACCTTTCCATAACCAGGTCTTTCTGGTTACTGAGAACTCTGTCAAACTATACCCCTTCAGAGAAGTTTCAGGTTTCAACCTACAACAGTCAGAATGAGATAAGTCAATACCGGTTCCACATGAATTCAGGTTATCTGCAGAGCCCTTGCCGCCACCCTGCTGTTCTTGAGTATTTTTCCTTTGTCCCTCTGTCCTGCACCAGAACATGATTACATGAGTTTGGGAGAGTTGCTACTCTTTTCCCTGCTGTAACCTCCAGTACTTAGAATAATGATGGGCCCCTCAGGAGAGCTGAAGAAAAAGATGTAGAATGAATTAAGAATTAGAGATGTTCTATGATGCAAATGTCCTCGTATCTTAACATGCTTGAGAAATATTTGGTTGAAAATCAGCTTTCTTCCTGTAGCAGTTCTCAAAATTCTCATTATACCCCAATTATGTGATTTCTCCAAGACAGGAATATTGAATGAGGTTTTCCAACACTTCTTTGGCCACTGAATAAGTTCGTTTTAAGAAAGCTCTTTTTGAATATTAATCCGCTTAGAAAACACTGTTATGTGAACATCTATCTACATAGATCTATTGGGAAAATGAAGGCTTTTCTCCTTTGAAAAAAAACTGATTTCAAGGAAAATTAAAAATTTTGCTCATATGTTTTTTGTTTATACATTTGTTTTCCTTTGTTAACAAGGTAAGTGGATTTCAGGTCTAACTCTTCTAATAACTTTTTGGGCTGACTTTTGACAAATCACCTTAATTTTCTTCTGTGCCCGTTTTCTTGACCCTAAAGTGAAGGAGAGTAATTTCTCTGATATCATTTCATACTATATGCTCCAGAGTTTCTCTTCCATGAAGCTGATTTATGAAGTGGAACAAGGATTGTTTGAGGTAAAATATGTGAAATTTCTAAAGGTGATCATACATGATAGAGCAAAAATCAGCACAGTTAGTCACATTACAGAGCATCTGGCTCTGGGGCAAACTAAGCGTCAGCCTTCACTTGCCGAATGATTGGTCGTTGGTTCACATCTCTGCTCAGAGGTTGCTTTCCCTCAAGGAGACGTTACCTGGACCGCTTCCAATCAGATGATACCCAGGTTCTAATTATACGTTGACTACTGTGATTGTTTTAACACCATTTCTTTCTCTAAGCTCTGCATTCTGTGCAACTGAGAATCATGGAGTTGTGAAGACTGTTATGTCCTTAGTATCTCAAAGACCTCCTGGCATGTAGAAACCCTCCAATAAGTTATTATTGAAGAATGATTGTTTGCAAGCAACACTGGCAGAAAAATATTGATTTAATGCTCTGCCATGGCCAATATCAATGTGCCTAGGAATTCACACTCAGAAAACAGAGAGAAAAAAAATGCCCCAATTCCTCCCAGACCTGCTGAACTTTGTGTTTATTAAAATATAATAATTATTCAAAAGAACTTAATCTCAAGATGAATGGATATGCACGCCAGTAAAATGCTAACTGAAATAAAATAATTAGGAGTTATTAAGCTCTCCTTTCATGCATGCCTAATGACAGTTTTAAGTGTGTCTTCATCGAGGTTCACTACGTTAATAAAATCTATATTTCCTTCCTCTCACCTAAAATTATTTCTTAAGTTCTTTCTGAGGGACAGTTCACCTAGGACGATTAACACATGGTCACCTTTTCCTTCACCAAAAAATTTCTGCTTGTTGGCTCTGAAGGCAGCTTAATGCGCGAACAGGGTTTGGGTGTTGGAAATGTCCAGAAGAAAGGAATCAAATATTGAGTGTCCAATACCATTCAGAATTAAATGTTAACAATATTTCACAAATGCTTTCACAATTCAAAAGAAACCCAATTTATCTAGAGACTCTACATTGATGAGTGGATAGATTTTTCACAAAAGCATGTGGAAAGTTAAATAAAAAAAACAAAGTTTTGAGAGAATACTGCTCTTAGTTATTCCTGCTCGTCAGGGGAGCTGCCCTGGGGAGCTGTGGCATGTTGCATTTCGGACAGCTCCATCTGTCTCCTTCTGGAATTATTAACAGCACTTGCAAACTCGTCTTTCCAACAGAGACAAATGATTCTTGGAACTGCCCTCACAATGACCAAAGCTATATTAAAATTCCATAAGGAAACATCCAGGAGATTCCTTATAAACATGATATTGAGGTACTGAAGCCCACAGTGTAGATGCTTAAAAATTAATTTTGGAGAACAGGCTGGAGGAAAATGTTGTTTTCATATGCCTCTGTGCTCACTACAGCAATGGAATATCCCAAATGTCCTCTCTAATATTATAGCTTTTCATTGCACTACTTATGGGTTTTCCTTCAAAAGGAATCTATGACAAATTAAAATCTTTACCGGCAAAGGATATATGTTTGGAATGCCAATGAATTTACTATTGAAAAAGAATAGGTTTCCAAATACAGTTCTCGGATGGGTAGCACAACACATAGCCATTTGGGATATTTTTGCTCACACGCGGGACTGTGAAATGCTGCCCATCATAATCTGGAAAGCTACTGCTATCCTTGTTCATATAACATAGCATCTTTGTGATTCAGGTCATACAATATGGTAACCCAGAAATATCAAGACTTTTAAAATACCCCCCAGAGATTAGTCCTGGAAAGTTTGCAGAGTGTATTAGGTTTTGTACATTTGTGTTGCCACCATCCACATTTTTTGGTAAATTTTTAAAAATCTCTGTCCTTCTCTGCGTTGCTCTTATCACTGTTACCAGCCCTTCTTAATCAAGACTGGGTATCTCATGTGTGGAATCCTGCCTTATGTGCATGTGGGCAAACAGTAATTCTTTAGGGCTATTTATGGGCCAGCCTCTGAAAATTAAGAAAGGCAAACAGCCGTGGAGGCTGAGTCACGTGGGATGGAATAAGCTGTGCCCTGTCCAGACCTGGTACCTGAAGTCCTGCGCTTCCCTGCCTGATTTCCCTTATTCCTGAGTACACGGGATTATTTTAATCTTTACCGTTAAAACGCAATGATGTTCCTTGTTCAAAATATATACCGCAAATCTCCTGTCTAAAATATTTAGTTTTTTCTGGTGACATTTTCTCAATTGAATTATTTTAAACTACTATATTTCTCTGAATTGCCTTAATTATAAAGCGATTATGTAAGATAAGATTTTTTGTTTCTTGTTCTAAATGTGTATCCACATTTATCTGTTGCATAGCATCACTTATTTTAAACTATTTTTGTCTTATTGTATATGTCTGAAGCAAAATCATTTCAAGACGTAAAAAAACAAAAACAGAAATAACACAGCAATGATGGCATGGGTTCTTGAAGGAGTCGAAGATTTCAAGTACTTACAACGAAACTGAGATTCAAGGACCGTGGACACTATAGATTCATGACTGTATTTCAGAACGAAACAAAAATAGGACTTACACCATGATGACTTCTGATAACTAAAATATGATCAGATTTTTAACTTTCCATCTGATCCAGATTAGAAATACCTTCGCCTTATTAAAAATAAAATAAAAATCAATTTGTATGGTTATAGAAACACGTAGAAACATCTATTTGGAGAATCCAAGAAGAAAACCCATATTGCATAAGCAACACAAATAGGAGTACGTTTCCTTCAATAAAATTATTAAATATTTTAACAAGTGAATATCAATAATTGAGAAATATAGACACTGTTTTCTTTTTATATTAAAGTGTCAGCTGCTAAGTTGATACTATAAAGTAGTGAGGGCTTTCCATTTCATGGCAGCTGTTTGAATGTTTCTGATTTTTATTTTTATTTTTTCAAAAACAACTTCCCACTACAGGGAGCATGTCAAACGATCAACTTCCTCTCTTTAAAATTTCAGGAAAGTATATAATCACTTTAATTTGTCCAAAGAATTTTTAATCAAGAATTTTTTTGTCCGTACTGTAATTCTAACCATATTACACATGTTGATAATATCTGCATTTTGTCATTACAACACTGATATCTGTTTATTTTATGTTTCAGATTTCTATTCGGAAAACATTATTCTAAGCCTCTGGGCCATTTTATATACAACGGCATTTCCTCACCTCCTAAAATAATTTACTGCATTCAACTCCTTTTATATTTTAATTTTGCCATATTTTATATCATAAATATGACAGTTTACAAATCATTTATTAATGCTATCTTATTTTCCTACTATAACAAAGCCCTTTCCTCATTCATATTCAGAATTTTTTTCAATGAAGAAGCACTTTTTTTGTGTCCTAAGTGGTAATCAACTTTTTTGTTTTTCATAATTTTGATGATACTTTGAACAATAATTTCTTTAAAACACATGGAAGTGTCTCTCACAGGATGGTGTTTGTATGGGACAACTTTAAAAATAAATTATCCTTTTCTTCAATCTTTCTGACTGGTTACATATATATAAGGTCTATGTTGGCACTTACATGGATAATTTTTAAAATGTGGCCCTGGTTCTCTTCTCTTGGTAAACTTGGAAAAGAGAGGCTCATTAAAGATAAAACAAAATGGTTAAACAATATAAGACGTTTTTCTTTAACTCCCAAACTTTGATTTGAAGTGTAGTTGTAAACACCAAGTCTATAATCCTATTTTGTGAAATATCAAATTTATGTATTATTGGTTGGTTGTTGCTGTTGTTATTCTTTCAATTCACCTTTCCTATACGGTTTGAACACCACTTTTCAGGTGAATTAAGGATTTAAATATTTAACTCTTGACACGGTCACTAATGTAAAGTTTGGTCACTACTGAAAAAATATTATACTTTGATTTCCTTTCTTAAAATTGTTTTTGTTTTCCTTACATTTCTAATTGTCTTCAATTTTACTATTGCTTTATCTATATATACCTATTTTTTACCTATTCTATCAACAGTTATTTTAAAATTTTTTTTCTTTTATTTTGTAAAGAATTGCTCCTAAGGCCCCCTCTGTCCATATATTCTCATCTGTATCTAGGGCTCTTCCAACTGACATTCCATGACTTCCCTTTACCCTCTGTGGATGTGGCTTACTCACTGCTTATAGGTAAGGTGGGGACTGAGTTTAACCTTGTCTGCAGTTAATCAACCAATTGTGCCTGCACAGTAAAACCCCAAATACCCCCTGGAAGTGGGGCAGACTCACTGGGCTTCCCCGGCAGGCAGTGCTCCATGTGTGTTGTTCCAGGTCAGTACCTCGGTACTTAAGGGGAGAAACGGGGTAGAAGCTGCACTGTGCGTCTCTTCCAAAACTGGCTGATTTAAATGTATCCTGGCTGTATTACAAATATATAAATGTAACAAATGTGAAGGTAATACGTTTCAGAGAGTTCTTTGAGTCTTTTTAGTAAATTATCAAACCTGATGGTGGTTTAGGGATCCACAGAACGTGTAGTTGGTGTCAAAAGTCTTGGGCAGATTAGAAATTTGGACGGCTCCATTCTCGGAGGTGGAGCCAAGATGGCGGAATAGGAAGAGCTCAAGGCAACCTACAAAATGGGAGAAAATTTTCACAACCTACTCATCTGACAAAGGGCTAATATCCAGAATCTACAATGAACTCCAACAAATTTACAAGAAAAAAACAAACAACCCCATCAAAAAGTGGGTGAAGGACATGAACAGACACTTCTCAAAAGAAGACATTTAGGCAGTCAAAAAACACATGAAAAAATGCTCATCATCACTGGCCATCAGAGAAATGCAAGTCAAAACCACAATGAGACACCATCTCCCACCAGTTAGAATGGCGATCATTAAAAAGTCAGGAAACAACAGGTGCTGGAGAGGATGTAGAGAAATAGGAACACTTTTACACTGTTGGTGGGACTGTAAACTAGTCCAACCATTGTGGAAGTCAGTGTGGCGATTCCTCAGGGATCTAGAACTAGAAATACCATTTGACCCAGCCATCCCATTACTGGGTATATACCCAAAGGATTATAAATCATGCTGCTATAAAGACACATGCACACATATGTTTACTGCGGCACTATTCACAATAGCAAAGACTTGGAACCATCCCAAATGTCCAACAACGACAGACTGGATTAAGAAACTGTGGTCCATATACACCATGGAATACTACGCAGCCATAAAAAATGATGAGTTCATGTCCTTTGTAGGGACATGGATGAAAGTGGAAACCATCATTCTCAGCAAACT
Source organism: Homo sapiens (assembly GCF_000001405.40). Taxonomy (NCBI): domain Eukaryota; kingdom Metazoa; phylum Chordata; class Mammalia; order Primates; family Hominidae; genus Homo; species Homo sapiens. The sequence goes on from NC_000008.11 coordinate 3,835,459, forward strand.
ACCGCCAGGACAAAAAACCAAACACCACATGTTCTCACTCATAGCTGGGAATTGAACAATGAGAACACATGGACACAGGAAAGGGAACATCGCACCTCAGGGACTGTTGTGGGGAGCGGGGAGGGATAGCATTAGGAGATATGCCTAATGCTAAATGACGAGTTAATGGGTGCAGCACACCAACATGGCACATGTATACATATGTAACAAACCTGCACATTGTGCACATGTACCCTGAAACTTAAAGTATAATAAAATTAACAAAAAAAAAAAAAAAGAAATTTGGATGGCTCCACCCTTAACCCCACCATTTGGCTAACTCTGGGTGATTGTGTGAGTTCCTAAGAGTAATTTTTCAGTCTAGGAGTTCTTCTGTTCCTTAGTTCTTCTGTACCTTTAGTGCCTCTGTACCATTCGTTTTTTCCATGAAGGCTTTGATAAGACTTTTTTCAACATATTTTCTCCGTAGGAACAATATGGGTCCAGGAATAGAACTTTTGGATTAAGACCTTGACTCTCTTATTATTTCTATAAGATTCTATCATTTCTACTGTCCTCATTTTCTGTTTCATTAGCTTTTTCTAATTGTTTATTGATTTTCTATGTCTCTAATTTCTTAATTATCTTTTTAAACTTTTACCTATGTAAAACCACCTCCTATCCTTTGAAAGGTGTGAAGTTATTTTTTTCTTACTATATTCATTGTCTCAGTTTATTATAGATTTTTCCACTTGTTTATTTTGATCATGTCATCGGACATTCTTTAAATATCTTTAATATTTGGTTATCTGCTCTTATTTCACAATGTGGCATTAAAAAACTGATTGAAGCTTGTAACAAGTCAAAGCAGTTTGCCAGTTTTGGGTTTACTTGACAAAGATCTATGAGGAACTAGCTATATCCTTGTGGGAATCCCAAGGGTCTAAATACAAAGATGTTTTCTTAGGTGATGGAAAATTTCTCCAATGCAGAAATCTCCAATTTCTGCATTAATAGGGAAACTGTAGAGGAGATGTAGCAGAGATTGTTGCTGTATATACTAATTTTAAGCCACATCTTACCCTTTAGAGCAAGAACTAGGATGGAGTGAGTCAGAAAAGTGGTGATATTGAAGCTTGGTCTTTGAAGCATATTTAAGTAATTTATATTTACTAAATGGTATTTGACCTGAATCAAATTACACATTCACAACATGAGACACGTGAGTTCCTGTAATAACCTTTGTTCAATATGGTTAGAATTGGGAAAATAAACAGATTAGCAGAGTTTCAAGAGACAATGAAATTCAGGGCAAAAAAATGTATTTTCTCACTGCACAATCTTAGTGTTTTATTTATTTCTTCTCACAGTTTAAATAATTTTATAACTCAATTAAATATGTTAATATTTAAATGTTAAGTATTTAATATAACTTGACTAAAGCAGTTCTTTAACATTTTTTTTTCAGGACATTATTTTCCTAGTTAAATCTCAATGCACTAAAGTTGGCAAAAATAAAAAGTTTTATAAAAGAAAACAGAACTAAGATCCTTAATTAGCTACTTTAAGTGAAGTTACTCCCTTCTTGGTGGCCAGGCTGGGTCAATTGATGCCCATGGGTGATTTTCAACATGAAGAGCTAGGAAGAACGCTACCATTGAGTAGATTACCATTCAGTATTAAATGCAAAAATTGAAAGTGTAGTCACTAAAGGAAAAAAAAAAATCTGTTCACATCAGTTTCACAGTCTGTGGTCAAAGAAAACATTGGCCAATTATTCCAGAATAGATGTGCATAGCTAAAGCTTATTCAACCCTTTGTAATATCATTTTATTAGATAGATGAATCTCTTCAACAACAGAAGAAAATTAGATTGCAACTAGTATTCATTTCTACATCAGAGCCCCAGGCTGGAGCTATATTAAGCCACTAAATGGTCTGCAGAAAATTGAAGTAGCATGCACTTTGATCTCAAAGGACTGCCTACGTCACATATGACAGGCATTTATAAGAGAAGAGATGTCCTCCTGGGACCTAATGCTGAACAGCAGAAACAAGATGTGAGATCCTGAGGATGCAGAGACATTTAAAAAACAACACAGCCCCCAAGATAACATTACCAATAATGATACTTGAAATGACTGACAAGTAAGTTTAGAAGTCTTAATAGAAATTCTAGCGTTTGTGGAATTTTCTGCGGATTGTAAGAAAATCCCATCCTACATAGGCACAGGGATGTCTGCTCTTGAGTAGGAAGAGTAATAGAGGTTGAGAACACATAACTACCCTCTCCTTAAAATCCTCCTGGCTCCTCCCAGTTTATCAGTTCCATCTTTGTTTTCTCAGACTGCACTATCCACTGACAAAGAACCAGTGCTTCCCTCTCTATAGTCGCAGGAAATTCTATTGCCACAGCTTCATTCCAACCTCACAGGACTAGTTTTCATTTTCTTCTGTCACTTGGAAATGCACAGATGAATATACTGTTTTTCAAATAAATGTCCTTTAATTTATTTCTTATTTTTCATGAGTTGAAATCTAAACTGGCTTCTTGGACTTCTGATGCCCTCCCCAACTAATTATCATAAATAAATATGTATGTATTGATTAGTGTGACTTGGAAACGGTTGTAGGGCTTTGGGAAAGCTGTAGCAGAAACTGGAATTTCTAACTTGGGATTAGAAAACAGCCGCAAATATCAGAGTCCTATACTAAGTATTGCAGAATACAAATGAATCAGACACAGACCCTGCCTTCCTATGGATAGATAACTATGACAGAAATATATAGTACAACCTGCAGTCAGAAATTCACAAGTCTGGGCATAATGGCTCACACCTGTAACCCCCAACACTTTGGGAGGCAAGGCAGGAGGATTGCTTGAGTCCAGTAGTTCCAGACCAGCCTGGGTGATGTCGTGAGACACTGTCTCTACTATATATACGCACTATATATATAGCCTATATATATAGAGAGAGACTATATATAGAGGGAGTGTAAGAGTATAGACTATACATATATAGGCTATATTATATTATATATAGCCTATAGATATATAGCCTAGGCTATATATAATATAATATAGCCTATATATATAGTCTATATATGTACTCTCTGTAGATATATATAGTCTCTCTATATATCTATAGTCCCTCTCTATATAAATATTTATATATAATAAATAAATTAATATATAATAAATTAATATTATATAGTATAATATATAATAAATTAATATTATATAGTATAATATATAATAAATATTATATAGTATAATATATAATAAATTAATATTATATAGTATAATATATAATAAATATTATATAGTATAATATATAATAAATTGATATTATATAGTATAATATATAATAATTATATATACTATTAATATATAATATTAATTATATATACTATTATATATACTATTAATTATATATAATATTAATTATAATATATAATAATATATACTCTAGATATGTATAGTCTCTCTATTTATATATAATAAAAAATTAATATCTATAAATTAATATTATATATAATATATTATATATCATATAATTATAATATTATATATTTATATGTTGATATTATATATATTTATTATATATATAAAATATATAGCCTATAGATATATAGCCTAGGCTATATATAATATAATATAGCCTATATATATAGTCTATATGTATACTCTCTCTAGATATATATAGTCTATATATCTATAGTCCCTCTCTCTATATATTTATATATAATAAATAAATTAATATGTAATAAATTAATATATAGTATAATATATAATTATATATACTATTAATATATATTACTTATATATACTATTAATATATAATATTAATTATATATACTATTATATATACTATTAATATATATTAATTATATATACTATTAATTAGAATATATAATATTAATATATACTCTCTCTAGATATACAGTCTCCATATATATTTATATATAATAAAAAATAAATATATATAATAAATTAATATTATATATTATAATATAATATATTATATATTATATAATTATATTATATATTTATATATTAATATATATATTTATATAGAATATAAATATATGTTAAGATTTTATATATTATATATATATTATAATATATAATATTAATTTATTATATATATTAATATGATATATATAGTTGCCCACTGCACTCCAGCCTGGGCAACAAGAGTGACACTTCAACTCAGAAAAAAAAAAAAAAGAATCTATCTCCTTCATTTGGGAGCTGTTGTGGAGAATGAACAAGTCTCTTTAAAGCACTTCGCTTGCTGTTAAACCCATGAGTGCTGCCACTGCTCAGAGAGTTTATATTTGTTCCCAGAGAAGCTGGTGGCCAAACTAGAGACCAAAGTGCACAGCTAAATGGAGGGAACATTATGGCCTCTTCTACGGGCGGCAGTTTCTAAGGATCAGAACAGCCTTTTGAGGTAGTAGGTACCTAGAAGGAATTCACAGAGATGCAGTGATCTTCTGCTCTGGATATTTGGAGACTGAAGCATTGGGTGAGATGTTGAAGGATGCATTTAAAGGTCATGTCAAAGCTAAGCTCCTAAGAGTCCTATGTTTCTAGGAATCCTCTGGGTTGATTTTTTAATATATAATAGCTCTGCCTATACTTTCAATGAATATTTTCTTAATTGTTAAAAAGACCTATTATGAACAGCTTGCTTCCTTTATACTTAATGTTTTCTCAACATGCCTAAGCTATCAAAGGGCCTTCATAAAGTAACTAAATGCTTCTGTATGTTTGAACCTTTGAAAAAAAAAGAGACAGCATAAATTAGCCAAATGGTGAAACAGATGTTCAAGAATGGCAAAGCTCACGCAGGAGGCTGAGGTGCCAACTAGCATCTCGCTGTCCTGTTAACAGAAATATCCTTGAAAACTCTAGTGCACAAATATGCTGAGGGAGAATAATAGTGTGTAAATAAGCAAAATAGATAACGTTGTACTTTATTTTATTGTGTTAGTAGCAAGAGTACCTCTTGCCCTGAACATAATAGGCATTCAATAAATCATTGACTGAATAAAAAATATAGGCAAAACAAAACGGTAGAGGAAATGCATTCATGTAATTCAATCAAAATGCAAGCATGCCTCCTTATTTCAAGTTAAAACATGTGAGTGTATGTATAGGTGTGAGTTTATGATATATCTGTGTGTGTGCACTTGCTAGTGTATAGGATATTGAGGTCACTATACAGTGACCTCAATTCTTTTTTTTAATTTTTTTTTTTTTTTTGACACGGAATCTATCTGGCTCTGTCGTGTAGGCTGGAGTTCAGTGGCAGGATCTCAGTTCACTGCAACGTCCGCCTCCTGGGTTCAAGCAATTCTCCTGTCTCAACCTTCCAAGTAGCTGGGCGCCTGCCACTACGTACAGGCGCCTGTGACTACGCCCATTAATTTTTGTATTTTTAGTAGAGACGAGGTTTCACCATATCGGTCAGGCTGGTCTCGAACTCCTGAACTCAGGTGATCCTCCTGCCTCGGCCTCCCAAAGTGCTCAGATTACAGGCATGAACCACTGCAGCTGTCCGGTGATCTCAATTCTTTGGTACATGAGTCTTAGGGCAAAATTCCAGGACAAACACTAAACTACACTGATTGATGTTAAATCAAGTATTAAATAGAACTTTTCCAGGAAGCCTGGCACTATTGGCCCCCTCATGAGGGTACTCATCGATAAAATGGTGGAAATTGTGTTTTTATGTATGTAATACAAAGGAATTCCATACAATTTCAATAAACTTGTTTGGAAAGGTTTATATTGAAAAGTTTTAAATAGTTCATGAGCTTGATTTTGAACTATCTTTAAAACTAAATTAAAAAATGCATAGATTGGCAAAATAAATTGGCATCAAGTGCATTTTTGGACTTCTTTAACCATGCTTTCGTTATGTGGTTCTCAACCTCAAGCAATGTGTTTGATTGCTTTTATGGAGAAAAGAAGAAAACAACAAAACAATCTTTGACATTCTTTCACTTGCAAGACCAAGCACTGCATTCCCCATTCCCTTTTCATTGCTCTTCTATGATTTGTGGGGATGTCTAGGGACTTGTAAAATTCCACAAAGCACATATATCAATTAAATTGTTTATCACAAAATCACCAAATATTAGCACTAGAAAGGATTTTAGAACTGGATCCTAGTTTTTCAGGTCACACATTTTTAGAGGTTCAAATAAAAAAAAACCATGAATATGATTCTAATTTTAGAACCTAGTGATTATAATATATAATATCAAAACTACAATAGTTCCCTCCTAGCTTTAACTGAGCTACATTAATAACATCCACAGACAATGAAAATTAGTAAATACGTGCAAATCAGCCCATGATCTGTGTTCAAAGCACCGAGACTTTGCATCAAGCTAGCAGCTCCTCAAGGGTCCTGGCCCTTGGGTTGGCCACACTGGCCACGGCAAAGCCTTTCCCATGGGATGATCTTCCCCTAGCTGATCCTCCAAAAAGAAAAGGAAAGTTACTGCTTCCAAAAGCAGTTTTTTTCCATCGTGTTGCAGCATCAATTTGTATATCGAGTTAAAAGCTCCTTTCTTTCTAATGCATACCCTTGTTCTTAATTCTGATAGTTAATAAAACACACACTAAATGTAACTGGAAAACACACATGCCTTCATTCTGCCTAATTCAACCCCGATCTCTTCTCCTTGTCAAACAACCTCAGGTTTTCTTAAAAACTCGTTTTCCTAGCATCATTGTAATATTCCCATTTTCCAAGCCTCTTGTAGAATCATCTGCTTGTCCATTTCTCTGTTAAACATTCAAAACTAATTCCCAATCTTCTTATGAGGTTCTTTCACTTTTCATTCCAGTAGTTTCTATTGGTACACTCTGACTCAATTAGGTTTTAGATACCCATATCAATACCACTAATAATGTATACTTAAACAAAAATCCTGACAGTTGGCTGTGCATGTCTTATAGTCTCAAGACTATATTTTAAACAGATGTTAAATGATTTTATTCTCATTGTTCATTACTAGTATTAAATATTTTTTGGCTAAATTTCTAGGGAAGAAGTGGGTTCCAATTGTAGATCTAGGTCAGAAATTGTAAATCCTGGGGACACAGTAGTAGAAATAACACATAAATCTCTTGCCTATATGGAAGTTACATCAAGAAGATGTTGACAGCTAGAGTTTCTATTTTTTAGAACACTCATAAATTATGTTGCATTTCAAAGAGCATTTGAAACTAAAACCAAACTAATGAGAAACCTGCAAAAAATGTGTCAAGATTAAAATTGGGAAACAGAAAAAAAAAGAAGAGTTAATATTTGATTTCAAAACTGTCTTTTAAAAAGTTGGAATGTCAGTGTTCAAAAATACATTAGCAGATGGCTGCTACAATAAATGGGAATATAGGATTAATATCATTTGTTTCACAAACTTGACATTACAAATAAAAATATAAAATTTTAAAAACGCACTGAAGATGTTCCTAGAATTGAAACTACAAAAAGTCAACATTAGCTCACTCAATTGTTTAGTTTGCTCAGTTTGATTTCTAAAGCAACCCTGAAAAGTAAGGATTATTAGTATTCACATTTTGCACATGATAAATGTTGTAATGAGTTTCTATTTCAGTATCGTTTTCTCTTTTTATTTATTCTTTAGAGAGTTTGAATAAATGATTCCATAGCACATCTAATGGAATCAATTCTCAATTTTTCACTGTCATGGCTTGTAAATTGTTTGTTTCCTTGAAAACCTTGCTTTCCCATTTTTTTGTAATTAACACAAAATCATCTGCTGATAAACTACTCCACTAAAAATACTTTCGTTGTTTGTTAATGAGTTTATCTTTTTATACTAATCTTTACCTCATTGAACGAAATCGTTTGAAGACTTTATTTACTGAATATTTATTGTGTGCTTACAGTATGTAATTATAAGCAAAGATATTTCAGATATTTAAAGTCAAAGTTGGTTTCAGAGTAATTAAGAATAACAGCCAGCCAAAGATCAAAATGACAAATTACACTCGGACTTTGTGTACATGAAACATGAGACAGATATGAGAAAAATGTGAAACTATATAAAAGTAAAAAAAAAACAAGTTATTCACGATGCTTTTATGTCAATGCATCCAGTTGGAAGTTTAATATTTGAATATTTTAAAGAGAAATTTGTTATAGGATACCATGGAATGCATTTTCAAAGAGACAGGCCACGGAGTGAGTGACGGGAGCCCACAGTGGGTGGAACACAGACCTAGTTTGAGCACTGAAAGGAGGTGGCTGGTCTTCGGGAAATGTTTTAAAGCATTTGATTCTCAGATCCACCATCTGCAAAATGTGCATGAAAGTAATACTTCCAAGGCTTGTTTTAGGAATCAAATGGATATAATGTACCTTCGAAAGTAAAGAGGGACAGATATTGTGAGTACAATTTAGAGTAACGTAATTTACACCCAGCAGAACTTTCCATTGCATGCGCACAAGGTTATCTGAGAACAATGATGAGGAACTCAGAAAATGTACTCAAACGGCCAAATGTCTAGCATCCAGCACTGATAATATGTAGTCATTGTTATTACAATGGCACAATGTTAATATAATTAAATTTCCATCCCACTCTCAACAAGGCCATCTAAACCTGCCCCTCCTACCATTTTTATTATATACATAAGAATAGTACTTTAAAAATTTTAAAAAGACAATATTGGCATTAACTTAGAAAGGCTTATTTTTATTTCCTCTTTAAGAAGGGTGTTGAAGAATGAGTCTGGCTTGTGGCTAAAATCTCTGTTGAGAGCAAGTTCCTGACGGATGGGTGGGTGATATTTAGTGAGTCAAGGAAAATTAATAACAGCATTGGTGGATCAATTTCAAGTCAATGACAATACTTCAGGAAGTCCCAGAAGTTCTATCTGGTAGACACACATACACCTCACTCACCAACAAATTATTGACAAAGAATAATTCTAGAACCTTTACACTATGATCCATAGGAGGTCCAGGGAGTTGATGTATGGATTCAGAGAGAGCAATCTCTTTGGTAATGTGACTAACCGTAACTTCATCATCTTTTAGCAGAATTGTCACAGAGGGAAAAATTGGATTTTTAGGAAAGTAATAACTAGAGGCCAATGTCATTTGAAAAGGCAAGGGGGTGTCCTCCCATCTGCAGATGGAAGGAGAACGGTGGGTATGCAGCTGGAAATTCACTATTTGAATTCATCATTGTCGGGAACTGCAGCCTCACTAGTTTTATTTCTGATAAACTGAAATACAGATCTTCCTTGACAATGAGGTCATGTGACCTCAGAACTTATGAGCGAAACATACTCTGCCACTTCTGTTCATAGAAGAATCAGAACAGATTTTGTTTTTGTTTTTGTCTTTTGAAGGGAAAAATGTCTCTTAAAATTTAAAACTAAAGTTTTTTCTAAAATTCTTGTCAATATTTGTCTGTGCATTTAAAAACTGCCATCAGAATGCTTGATTTTTATTTTAATGAATTAAGATTTTAAAGATGTGATATGCAGATACTGCACAAACTTTAAAAGTTAACAAAGGTTATTGATGTATAATTTTATAACACAATAAAGGTCTCCTGTGATTAGACTTTCATATTATAGTTTAAAATGCATACATATATTTAGAAGCAAGAAGTATCAACTATAAGGCAAATCTGTAGACATTGAATTGAAGGCAGGAAGACAGTTTATGGGAATTAGAAAACACATACCGTTAGGAAAATAGTGCAACTATGCATCTCCTAACAATGGAGATACATTTTGAGAAACACATAGTTTGCTGATTTGTCCTTGTGCAAATATCGTAGAGTGAACTCACAGAAACCTAGGTGGACTAGCCTACCACACACTGAGGCTCTACGATACAGCATGTTGCTCCTGGACCACACACCTGTACTGCATGGGACTGCCCTGAATACTGAAGGCAATGGTTACACAGTGATAGATATCTATGTATCTAAGCATATCTAACCACAGAAAAGGTACAGCTGAAAAATCAGCATAAAAGATAGAAAATGCTACACCTGTACAGGGTACTTGCCATGAATGGAGCTTGCAGGACCAGAAGTTGCTCTGGGTGTCAGTGAACGAGTGATTATGAAGGCCTAGGACATCTCAGTACACTACTGCGGGATCTATAAATGCAGTGTACTTAGGCACACTAAATTCATTTAAACATTTTTTTGTCTTCAATAATAAGTTAACTTTAGCTTACTGTAACATTTTGTATTTTATAAAGTTTTTGATTTTTCATCTTTTTTACTCTTACAATAACACATAGCTCAGAACATACTTTGTACAGCTGTATAAAATATCTTATTTCTTTATATTTTTATTCTATGTGCTTTCTTCTATTTAATTTTTTTTTTACTTTCTATACTTCTTTTGTTAAAAATGAAGACACAAACACACACGTTGTCCTAGGCCTAAACAGTGATCATCAATATCACTATCTTCCACCTTCACATCCTGTCCCACTGCAGGCTCCTCAGGGGCAGTAGTACCCATGGAGCCGTCACCTCCTATGAGAACAATGCCTTCTGGACATCTTCTGAAAGAGCTGCCTAAGACTGCTTTACAGTTAAAATTAAAAAAAAAATAATAAGCAGCAGTAGACTTCTATAATAAAAAGTATAGTAATTATATAAACCAGTACCATGGTTGTTTATGATCAGGATCAAGCATTATGCATGGTACATAAGTGTATGTGCTAGGCTTTTATATAACACACTATACGTTTGTTGCCACCAGCATCATCACAGATACGTCCACAATGCACCACGCTATGGCATTATGATCGCTACCATGTCAATAGGTGATAGGAATATTCCAGCTCCATGAGAATCTTATCCAACCACCTTTATTTACATGGTCCATAGCTGATTAAAATGTCTTTATGTGGTGCATGACTCTACATGTGAAATAGATAAACATATGTAAGTTTTGATTAGCCCCAACTGATCAAGAAGATGACAGTTACTCAAAATAACCTTCCTCTCAGTTTTTTCACGTGTGAAACTCAGATAAGCATAGAAAGTATTTCACAGGAATGGTGGGTGGATTAATTGGGCTAGAGCATATGAAATGTTTGACTTTAGATTAAGTTGACATTTAAAATAAATATTCACAAACATTAGCAGTTATTATCATTAACTCACCTTATTTCTTTAGCCTAAGGATTTATTTAATTATTTATTTAGTTTGAGATGGAGTTTCTCTCTGTCGCCCAGGCTGGAGTGCAGTGGTGCAACCTTGACTCACTGCAACCTCGACTCACTGCAACCTCTGCCTCTCTGGTTCTAGCGATTCTCCTGTCTCAGCCTCCCAAGTAGCTGGGATTACAGGTGCCTGCCACCACGTCTGGCTAATTTTTTGTATATTTAGTGCAGACAGGGTTTCATCATGTTGGCCAAGCTGGTCTCAAACTCCTGACCTTAGGTGATCCACCCGCCCTGGCCTCCCAAAGTGCTGTGATTACAGCCGTGAGCCACTGCGCCTGGCCCCAGGATTTACTTTTTAAATATGAATTTTCCAGATCCACAGCAGATCAGATGATGCCTCTTAGCAATCTAGTCTCAGGTTTAGAAGCCCTTCCAGGGTGGGGGAAGGCAGGATCCTAAGAGGACCTCCATGCTCCTGAGGTCTCCTCCTCTTGCAAGTGGGCAGGACCTGTGACTGGCTTTTAACCAATAATGCCTGAACCTTACAGGTGGCGCGGTGTCACTCTTACCATTATGTTACATTACAGGGCAAAGGTGAAGACATTTTGCAGATGTAGAAAGGTCCCTAATCAGTTGATTTTTAAGTTAATCCAAAGGCAGTTGATTTGGGAGAACCTGACCTACTTAGAGGAACCCTTAAAAGTGTTCCAAGTCAGAGAAGGAAGCAGAAGTGGTCCCCTCCTGCTGGCCTCCCGGAAGGCACTGCCCAGTGTGGGGAGGGACAGTTGGCTGCGAGCAGTGGGCAGTTTTGGGGTCCTGAGCATCTCAGCCCTATACTTGCAAGGAGCTGAGTTCCGCCAACATCAATATGAGTATGGAAGATAATTCCAGCCTAAGGTGAGATCACAGACTGAAGGAGTCCTTGACTGCTGCTTCTTGAGGCCCTGAGAGAAGACTGGGGTAAGGGGTCCTTGATTCCAGACCGATGGAGCCCCGAGAAAACACGGATGCACTGCCTTCAGCTGCTGCATTTCTGGTCATTTGCTACTCAGCCATGGAAAAACTAATACAGAATGCTTCCTTATAGCAAGTCTCAATCCCTGACACTGCAGTTCCAGCTCCATATGTTCCTTTTTATCATAAGTGATTAGGAAATATAGTTGGGTGCCAATAATTGCACATCAAACCTCATCTTGACTGATTTAGATGTATTTGCTCCCATTATGCGCTCCCTATAGCTAGTCTGACTTTTCAACTCTATCCGTTTTCTCTCCTTATAAATAAAGGTAAGTGCATATTTTCTTGGCTTCAAAACAACCAATGATTTTTATTTATTATTTATTTATTCATCTCTATTCTGTGTATCTTGGATGGGGCACTTCTTTCCTGACACATGTTTTTATTTTGTCTAATCTTCTTACCATCCTGGTGATATTTCTCTCTCTCTCTCTCTCTCTAAATATATATACTTACTTAGTGCTCATATTGAATTTATTTTTGCTGTGACTGCTGTATGTGGTGGATGAGAAGTTGGCATTTTTTACAGGCAAAAGCCAATGTCAGGAACAATCAGAAGTTGTCAGGACATTGATCCTGCCCTTAATACCTGCAAATCCTCAGCTGGACCCAAGTGTTCTGCCCAACAGGGGAGCTCATTCTACTGCGATCCCACTAACAACAGAGATCACCACATCAAAAGGAGCAATCTTATTAAAGAGAGTAACTAGAAAAAGACTCATTTTTTTTCTCAGCCTTCTCTAGGCATAGTTGGTGTTTTTTAAAACACAATTAGGAGTTATTTCAACTAATAGTTACTTAAGTTCTCTGAGTACTTAATTCAGTTAATTGATCTGGATTTATACTTTCCGATTTTATAGCAAAAGCCTGAGAAGTTACTTAATTTACTCAATACCACTTTAATTTCACCTTTGTGCTGCTCCTTGTAAATATGTACTTTGAACTGCTCAATTTCCCTCACTGTTCTAAAGTGCAGAGAATAGATGGAATTTAATTTTAAAGCCAGATTTTTCATTTCAGATCCTATTATGCTCCTTGCACCATCTGTGTGATCTGATCTCTGAAAATGCAATGGTCTTTTAGGTGGTCCTGAACTACATGTGTCTAATTATAATTGTCAAATATTTAGTACTGTAGAAAAAAATGATTAGCAGCGATTTTAAAGAAAAAGTGGTACTTTATGAAAGGATGTTTATAAAGCACACATTTTTTTCAGTCCAGAAATGCTAAAGAGTGATATAAAGAAGATACATATCTAGATATCATATACATATATCATATATATATGATATATATATGTATATACTATTGCAAAAATATACTCCTAGTTAATCTTATAATAATGGACTTTCATACAGAAGGTTCTCTGCTCATATAAACTTAAACTTAGTGGCATGCAGTTTTGGCCCTCAATATACAAGATTCCATTTAACAGTTGAAGGGATACTTTTGTAACAGAAAGTTACACTGAAAGACAAGGAAGCCTAGGATGATAAATGGAGGTGTCTTAAACGATGACATTAACTTAGTTTGAATGAAAAATCAACCTGGGAATGGTTGATGAGAAAATGATGGAAAAGAGGAATAAAACGAAACAAAACCACAGGAACACGGGTGCATGTGAATGTGCACAGACAAAGATACAGGGCGGACTGGGAAGGAAGTTTCTGCACCAGAATTTGGGGAGATGAAGTGGAGAGAGGTGGGGTCCACTACCCGCAGCTGCCATCACAGGCGCCAAGGAAGGACGGACGAAAGGGAGTCCTTGCTTAAATGTCAGAAAGTAACCCTGCTCCTTCTGGCGGTTACTCCTTTTAGTTACATCTGAATTGGAATCCATCAAATAAATGAGTAAATGAGTAGCTCGACGGTTAGAATGACGACTTCAGCAGAAATTGGTATCTGCAATTCAAATGAGTTCAGCTAATGCTCCACATGGGAAAAGAACAGTGATTCCTGGGCCTGTCTGCTGGAGCCTACCTGGGGAACAAGGTCGAAGTCCCCAGGGAGGGGTCGATTTTAGTGATGTTGTCAACTGCTGAAATCAGGATCGGCACAGGAAACACAGGGTGTAAACTCAATCTTTATGAAGCTCTTGTACAAATATCTTTTGAGAAATGATATGTTTTTAAAGATGATATTGTGAGACAGAGTATATCTTTTTTTGTTTGGTTTTTGTTTTTGTGATGGAGTCTCGCTCTGTCGCCCAGGCTGTAGTACAGTGGCGCAATCTCAGCTTCCTGCAACCTCCACCTCCCAGTTCAAGCAATTCTCCAGCCTCAGCCTCCCAAGTAGCTGGGAATTACAGGCACCCACTACCATGCTCGGCTAATTTGTGTATTTTTAGTTTCACGATGTTGGTCTCAAACTTCTGACCTCAGGTGATCCACCAGCCTCAGCCTCTCAAAGTGTTGGGATTACAGGCATGAGCCACTGCACCCAGCAAAGAGTATATCTTTTTGATACATTTGGGCGATGTCGCCATTCTTAGGGCATATCCCTTATGAATTTCAAGTGTCTGCTGTATAGGCAAATTTTGAGACTGTTTACACTTTTCTTTATATCAAAGGCTCCAAACAAAAGAATAAAAAACCAATAGGTAAGTCCAAAGATAGAATCAATATGTGCACAGTGTTCTCTATTTTGGTTTCAATAGCTTTGTTTTCCATAGGGTCTCACCCCTGACTCTTTCTACTATCCTTGCCTTTTCTCTTTGTCCTGTAAGCACTGACACTGAATTCAACTCCTCAAAATTCGCATTAAGCCTGGCATGGTGGCTCAGGCCTTTAATTCCAGCATTTTGGAAGGCTGAGGCAGGCAGATAACTTGAGGTCAAGAGTTCAAGACCGGCTTGGCCAACATGGCAAAACCCCATCTCTATTATGGATACAAAAATTAGCCGGGCATGATGGCTCTCACCTGTTTTCCCAGCTACTTAGGAAGCTGAGGCAGGAGAATAACTTGAACCTGGGGGGCGGAGGTTGAGGTGAGCCAAGATCGCACCACTGCACTCCAGCCTGGGTGACAGAGTGCGACTCTGTCTCAAAAAATAAATATAAATAAACATAAAAAAATAAAACAATAAAAAAATTGAAATTCGCATTTATACACATCACAGGGGTGTGCCTTAGTAGTGTGTGAAAGTCCAGTCAAAGGAACAAAGCTCAAAAGTTACTGAAGGATAAAAAATGATAGATACTCTACAGACTCAAGAAAGAATTTATTTCAGCATTATTATCACAGGAAACAGAGTTTAAAGTTTTCTAATTTAAAAGAAATAAGAATTACTTCTTTTAACTTGTTGTTATATAAAATAACAGATGAGTATAATAAGTGCTTCAGCTTAGATAAATATCTATGTGTTTTTCCTGCAGTGATGCTCACATAACAATTTGTAGAAATGAATGTAGAAGGAATATTTCAAATCTATTTAGGTATAATTCTAGATATCATTAAAGATGAATTGTTTTCCATGTAAAATAAGATTTCTGAGGAGCTAATTTGTGACAGGATATATTATGATATCAGTTTTCAAAGCATGAGCCTGCTCATTATGCTAGAAGGTAGAATATTTGAAATAATGAATTTGCATCTAGACAAGGGTGCATATCAGGGCAACACAAAGTCTTTAGGGACTGGTCTTTTCATATTGACATTACACACATAAAAGTGGGAAATTCCAACTTGATAGCCCATCCATTCCCCAAATGGCCATCCCTGAACCACTTTTGTTATCTCTTTTGGCATGGACATATGTAGCACTACCAATTTCTCAGTGCTGAGTATTGCACTTCTACTCATCAATTATCTCAAGGGAAAAAGTACAAAAAGAAAGACCTAGTGTCTTGAGACTTTTTGGCTCTGTTTGATCAGGTGGTCCCTGAAAGGTGAGCCTCTGCACCTTGAGCAGCAACTCCCTGCTGCAGGCCAAGGGAGGGCAGGGTTGTCTCTACTTTCACTGGAGAAAAAAACATCCATTGCTAACTTAAGCTTTAGGTGATAGACAATAAGAAACAAAGAAAAGGGTGAATAGCAGAAGAAAAGAGAAAAAAGCAGAAGATAAATAATTAAAGGAAAGAGAGAGAACAAGAAGGTGAGGAATGAAGAGGGAATGTATAAGGAAGTGACCACAAGTCAGGTGTGAGTAGAACACGTGGTTCTAAGGATGAGAGACTGAGGGCGCCAGGAGGGTCGGGTGGGAGCAGACATGGCCATGCAAAGCCAGTGGGCTCCATGGATCAGAGATTCTGGCGGGGTAGAAGTACTGGGGGCCTGAGCATTGAAGAATATGTGAGCTAGAGAGATAGCAGGTTAGAGAGAATAATTCATAAAACTGAGAGCATGGAGGGGCTGCAATCACCGGTGAGGACAAGTTCCCTGGACCTGTATGAAAAATAAGAATGGTTGAGGCAGACTGGAGGAGATCTTTGCAGAAAAGGAATTCAAGAAACAGAGGCTCAGGTTGTTGCAAAAACCATCGATACAAATACTCTATAAGAATACTTGATTCTACAAGAATCTAGTGGAAGTACGGAGAGTATGTCCCTAAATTCAAGGACTGGGAATGGAGGCGCAGGAACATGCACCAGATGTGGGGAGGTGGTAACCATCCTGTAGGCAGTGGATGCAGCGAACTCCTGCCCCAGAATCAGAGGTGGGGTTTGTAGGGAGCAAGGGAGAATGGCCCGAAGGAAGCAGTGCAGGATAAGGGACACCCTCTCTACTCCCAGCCAAGTGGATGAGCATGTACAGTGAACCACACTCCCCTGTGCTGCTGGTCAAGACGTCGGGAAGAGGGTAGGGCTGCAGGGCTGCATTCAGAGAATAAGCTGGGATATAGAAGATGCTGACAGTTGACGATAAATTCCAGAAAACATAGTAGATGGTGTTAGGGATTGAGGAAGGTGGGAGGAGGGATGGAGTAGAGGACTTACTCGTGTCAGCTATCTCAGCATTCACAAAAGCAGAATCCTGGCTTCATCAAAGTGACCAAGGGGAAACTGAGGCAGGCCAAGATGAATGGTGATGGGGGTGGGGAGGAGCCTTTGGAGGCTGTGAGGGACGGGAGAGATGGAGGGTCAGGTAAGCGTCTGCATCTCCCGCTGCACAGGTTTGTAGGATCCATTCCAGCCTCTTCTGTCTCCTCCAAGCGCACGCTTCAACAATTCTCCGCTTTCTGTAACCCACCAGGGATTCCTCTCAGCAGAATCAATCCCTCCAGCATCCACGCAGGTTCCTATTTCTCTCATTTTAAAATATTTTATCTTGATCCCACCTTCCTCACTAAATATTGCTCCATTTATTTGCACCGCTTTATGGCAAGGCTCCCCAAGAGTGTTCTTGACTTGACATCACCTCGTCCCCAACATCCAACTACATCTCCCGTCCTCATGTCATCAGTCGAGCAACCCACGTCACTCCATCCAATGCCTGCCACCCTGACCTCATCATTCTTGATCCAAAAGCAGCAGTGGCAGCAGGTGGCTGAGCCCGCGTCCCTTGGCTTCAAGGACACTCCTCTGAGATGCTGCTTCCCTTCCTTCACGATTGCATGTTTTCAGTCTTCTTTGTTGGTTCTTCCTTTTGGGGATTCATTCCTGAGGCTCAGGAGAAAGCTGTGAGTTTTCTTTGTGATCTTCATACCCTGATCAATTTTTCTTCTCACCTGACACTTATTATTTCATAACATGCTCCACAATTTACTTTAAAAAGGTATTGTTATGTAATGTAATGCATTGGTATAGCACGCTCTATAATTTACTTTAAAAATGTATTTTCTTATTTACTCCCAGGAAATGGTAAACTCTGTGAAGGCAAGGATCTTTGTCTACGTTGTTCACAGACACTTCTCAAGCATCAATATGACTGCCTTGTTACTAGAAGATGCTCAATCAATATTTATGTAAGAAAGTGATTATGAAAAAAATAAGTTAAATAAAAAAGAAGGCACTTATGAAAAAAGAAGGAGACCTTGTGCCCCTGTGAGCAATGCTCCTCCGAAGGACCATCTTCCCTAGTGTAGAAGGTGGCAGTGTGCAGTTGGATAAGCCTCAGTAAAGAAACCACCTCGGGGTGGGGGGAGCAGGGAAGGACAGCATTAGGAGATATACCTAATGCTAAATGACGAGTTACTGGGTGCAGCACACCAACATGGCACATGTATACATATGTAACAAACCTGCACATTGTGCACATGTACCCTAAAACTTAATATATTATACTTTAATATATTAATATATTATACTTTAATATATTAATACATTAAAGTATAATATATTAATATATTAAAGTATAATATATTAATATATTAAATATATCATGTCAATATATTTATATATTTAATATATGATACATAACATATAAAATATTATAAATATATTAAATATAATATACTAAAGTATATGTATATTATATTTAGCATATAATATACTAAAGAAAAATTACATTATACTTTATATAGTTATATATTATACTTATATATATAAACTCTATTAAAGTATAATAATAATAAAAAAAAAAAAACACGTCTTGGAAATGGACCAATTCTCATGCTTTGGGAACACTTAAAACATGTGAAACTTTCTTAAAATCTCAGGAGTAATACATTTAACTCCAAAATATGATCAATAATTCTTGTAAGGTGAAATTTTAGTAGTGTGCACTGCCCTTTTTATTTTGTAGTCTTTTTTCAGATAAATTCTTTTCCTTTTGATTTTAAGAACACAGATAATGAATTAAAGTATCATATTTTCAGTGACTTTTTAATGCTACTGTTTAAGAATATCCAAACAGTACAACTTCAAAATTACTTGGCACACGTTATAGCTGTATTAACTTTTGAGATACAGATAATACAGGCATAGTGGCTTAACTGCACGGGTTATGGGCAGTTTCATTTCTGCTTACTTAGCTTTTCTATCTCCCTGCACTGGAACTCCCTCACCCAAGGAGATTCCTAAATCTGGTAGCTCCATTGTCAGGCCTTATGATATAGAATCTGGACAATGTGGAAGAGAGGGGGATGGAGAGTGGGCGAGAAGGGAGTCGGGAAGATGAGACAGCGGGGGAAATGAGTAAGAGAAACTCCAGAGGGGGTAAAAAAGAAAAAAAAAAGATCGATTAAGAAGTGGTGATCAAAATTCATATCGAGCTGTTGATTATAATATTACTAAACATAACAAAAACAGGGAATTGTTAAATCAATTCTAATCCATTTCAGAGTAAAATATTATATGGACATTACAATTCACTCGCAAAGCATTTCTAACATGTAACAATGTTGAGAACGTGATGCTCAATGGAAAAACATAGCATACATACACACAAATGTCCAGGCCCAGTAATCCATACAGCCATACACATTCGGAAATAAACACAAAAACATGCATATGCAGAGAGCTTGAGAGAAATGAGAATACCCCAAAATATCAAGAGTATTTACCTACTACTCTTGAAGCTATGGTTTTAAATATTTTTCTGTACTCTCTATTTTCATAATGTTTCTAATTAAGACAAATTACTTTCAATATAACAAAGATGTATTATTAAAACTAATGGACAAGGCTGCGACAGCTATTTTGTAAAAGAAGAAATAACCATAGATTTTTACTATATTGCATACAAAAATCTGTCTTTGCAATTTAAACTTGAGGCATTAAAAATTATCTATATTTTTTCATCCAGAAGGAAATACACTCACATCCTAATTTTAATTTGCTAGTCTGAACAACAGAACAAAATAAAAACAACAAAAATAAAAGCATATTCTATAAAAAACAAAAAAGTTTAAATATCAGAAATTCTATTTTCATGGTGAAATGTGCTAGTTATGAAGATATAAGCTCATATGTCAAAAAACTTGTTTTTTAATCGCCATGTTGCCACTGTAGGCATTAATGAGTTTAACAGAAATACTGATTAACTGAGTTTCAGTTGGTACAATGCCAGATGACTGAGTATGCTAATTCCTATGACAGTTTACTGCTTGAAACATGAATTTAATTTTCCTGACTTCATTAATCATAACTGTTATTTACCATATAACAGCGTAACCATTTTCTTCTACTGAGAAAATTTCATTTTCATGGGTCATGCGATGTGAAATCCTAGAGTCTGCTGACTTTCTGAGTAAAGACAAGCTTTCTGTAGAATTTTTACTAGTAGGGTATTACGTAAACATCTTTGATTTAGAGTTCAACTGCATTTATTATGACACTTTGGAAACATTGTCTTATTTTCTTGCTTTATACTTGCATTGCCAAATCTGTACGGGTGAGATAAATATTGAATCCCAGAAGCATCTCCCTACTACTGAGTTTCATGATATCTGTCAGTATTAATCAATTTTTTTTTGTTTTTTATATCTAGACAAACATTACCAAACTTTTATGTCATTCACATCATACTGTGGAATGGTTTGGATCTGTGTTCCCACCTAAATCTCGTATTAAAATGTAATTCCCAGTGCTGGAGACGGGGCTTGGTGGGAGGTGACTGGATTGTGGAGGTGGTTTGTAATGGTTTAGCACCATCCTCCCAGTGCTGTTCTCATGATAGAGTTCTCATAAAAGCTGTTTGTGTAGCACCTGCTCTCTCTCTTCTTCCTACTTGGCCCATGTAAGACACACCTGCTTCCGCTTCATCTTCCGCCATGATTGTAAGTTTCTTGAGGCTGCCCCAGAAGCTGCTATGCTTCCTGTACAGCCCGCAGAACCGTGAGCCAATTAAACCTCTTTTCTTTATAAATTACCCAGTTTCTGCTACTTCTTTATAGCAATGCAAGAACAGACGAATACATACTACTCCTAACATGCTGCCCTATGAGTTCTTAATTGGTGAGGAGGAGAACTGCATGAGGATCAAATGGAAATCACGTAATAAATGCAACGACTGTCCACATCATGCGGCACTGGGGCCTGAGTATGGCAGACTGTATTCTAATTTGCCATATTTTATAGTCCTTTTCTATGGTGCCCCTCCCTGCAGCAGCAGTAAACGTTTGCACCCCAGGGAACTCCTAAGTGCCCACATGGCCAGTGAAAGCTGGGAAGATAGGGTATGCTGTTTCCTCAAAAATCTTTCAAAGCCTGTGTTTCCTTTGCCATGGTGTCTTTGTCTCTGAAGGAGACTGAGCATATTACAGATACAGGCTACTCCCTCAGGCTGGGGCCCAAAGTTAACAGAACAGGCAACTGAGCCACAGCAGATCCAGCATGGACATGAGTCATGAAATGAACACTTGTAACTACTCAGACTGGAGGTGGTTTGCTACCACAGTGTAGCCTAGCTATCCTGACAGGTACAAAGAATCAAGTAGAATTTGGAATTTTTTTTATTTGCACAGAGAAATTTTTGTAATGGCATGGCAATGATTAGAAATATATATCGAGGGCTTCTTGTATATCCCACACTTACTTCAGGAAAAAAAAAATTAAAAATGACTAAGACACAGCTCTTTAGTCATAAAAGTAACTAAGACAAAGTTGTCTACGAAGTTAGTGTAAAATGATGGGATAATTACATGGGCTTCATGAAAAAAGTGCCAAAGTTGTACAGGAGGGAGTAATTAATTGATACAACCTAGGTGGTAGAGTTACAAGCAATATTTACAAATGGAGTAATCTTTAAACTGGGCCTTTAGCATTAGGAGGGTTTTTCCTAATTAGGGAGGTGAGAAAGACCTGGCAAGTTAAACAAAACTACACAAACAAAGCTCCTAAGATTTAAAGAGATTGGCCTATATTTGGAATAACAAGTGAAAAACAAAAACTGTGATGGTAAATCCAAGCCAGATGGGACCTTGGAGAACTTCTGGACAAATATCCCACCTATATATATGAGGATACCTAAGTCCAGAAATAGTAGATGATTTGCTTAATATTACTCCACTGGAAATGGCAGAGTCGTCTTCCACACCTGTTCTGTTTCTACGCTGTGTAGACGTGAGGTTTGTGGTGGGGCCAGGTGGAGTTCACAGAGCAGAGGGTGGGGACACAGATGGTCCGAATGAGTGGAATTTTAATACACTTCTTAGATTCTTCATAATCTTCAAATACCAGGTGTGATGATCCATTTACAAAGACAGTTTTTGACAGAGCTTCTATAGGTAAAAATGTGAAGAGAGATGCAATGGGGGAAAAGGATACAACACCAGGCCAGAGTAGAAAAGAGCTTATTCTTTTATAAAATACCTAGAGTTACCTTTGCTGAGTGAGAGATTACGTGATATGTAACAGGGATTGCTTCCGTCCTTAAAATTGACCAGGCTTTGGCTTCCAGCCAATCAAATAAAGCCTACACTGCATGGTGACTTCTCTGTATAAAATTGTTCGGCATGGTGCGGTCTCTGCACAAGATTGCTCTGCACATGTGTTCTTGGAAAAATTAGTGATTATGTGTTGATGGTTGTGTCTGTAAAGATAGCAATTTGTGACTGTCCAATTGAATTTTAATAACATAGTCAAATCACTTCGATCTTAGCTATCTCTCACTAGAGGTAGAAATGGAGGCTTTTTGTCAATTAAGTAATTTTTTGACTCTCTATTTCCATTCTTTAAAATCATAATTCAAAGTAAAAGTTATATAATATTTTGCTTTGATAAAGTCCACAGAATGAGGATGGGCCTTATCAAACCCTCAGGATTTCATTAATATGAATAAAAACTTCAAAGGCTCTTCTTTTGAGAAAAATGCTTAAAATATTTCATGCTTGACCTTGGTTTTATAACAATGATTTAAAATGAATTCTATGCTGTTTCTTACCTTTTAAATCAGTTTTTAATCTATGTTTCATTTAAGCCATATAAAACTACTACTCTATCTTTAGATAATAATTCCAACCATTTGTAGAAATGGAAGGCCTACTTAATTTTGAATAAAAGTGCATAGAGCAAGGTGTTAACTGCATAAATGGACTACTTTCACGAGTAGTCTTAAATTAATAATTTTCACCAAGTTCTCGAAGGCCTATTTAAAACATTACCTTTTTCTATGTATTTAATGCTGTTATAATCTTCAGGAGAACTTTTTTTTTTTCTGTTCGTAATACCCCAAATAAAATAGTCCATAAATCAGATTACATTTTCAAAATAACTTTGGATGTTACACTCCTGTATAACTTATTTAGGATTTAAAAGCACTGAATCATTTCTTCTAATGTTATCGGGAAATAACATGACTTGCATGTTGCATTTTTGTTTCTGTAGAATGCTCCAGTAGGATCAGGTTTATCGTGACAATGTAAATCTATATATTTTACAAATGGATTTGGCGAGTTGGTTGAAGTCAGTTTCAGCAGTGGAAGCAGAATTAAAGTATAACGACATCAATCCCTTCTTCTACTCCACACCTTCATAGTGCTATGAAGTGTTCCCTAAAAGACCTTATTATAAGTGAAATTTTACATTATTCATGTGTTATGTGATATTCATCTTCTCATCCATGCACATTCAATCAGAAGCTCTGAGTACTATGATTCAACCTATCTCTACTCCACACAGGCATAGCACTGTGCCAGACACACAACAGGCTCTCTAAATATGTGCGTAGCAGAGGAGTACGTGGGAAAGCCACCATTCAACTTCTCAAGTGAACGCCATTCAATCCCACTCACTGGTGAGTCTTTCTAGTTTTCCTTCAACACCTATCCATGGCAACCTACATTCGCTCGGCCTATTTTTTGTCACTTTCATTCTCCATAATATTTTAGGTCCAGAAATACTTCTTTTTATAAATATCTTTGGAAATATATTTTGTTTACAGATGTGTAGTAAAGAATTTGGCTCCAACCTCAGAAATGCCTGGACTTTGTGCTTGGTTTCTGGGAGGAGAATCTTTGCCATACTTATATCTTCGTTTACAGCAGGAGCTGGCCACAGTTGGATTTCAGGGCGAGGCTAACTACATCTAACAATCTTAGTGCGAAGTTGGGTCATGCCAGAAAGACCAACCATGTTATTTATGGTGGGAGCTTTGGTTTACATGACGTCAGTTGACCTGAAGAGTGAGTTCAACCATATGGGCAATTAATCAATGAGTCGTGCCTACATAGTGAAGCCTCAGTAATAACTCTGGACACAGAAACCCGGGCAGTCTTCCCTGGCTGACAATCCTGAATACTGCTGCATACTTATGCTCAGAGGTCAATGCATCCTGATTCCGCAGGGAACAGGCAGGAGAAGCTGCACATTTGGAAGCCTCCTGGGTACAGCCTCAGGCATCTCTTCTTCAGATGATGTTTAACATATATTCTTCTTCTGTAATAAGCTATAACCATGAGTGTAATAGCTTTTCATGAATTCCATGAGTCCCAGTGAATTTTCAAGCCTGAGGGTGGTTTTGGGAAACCCAAACTTGGAGTTTGTTTGAGAAGTAAGAATGTGCTTGTGGAGGGTCATGCCCTTGCGCTTTGCAGTATGGTTAGTTGTGGATAATAGGTCACACTTTAAAAAGTTTGCCTTCATATTGATCCCCTTTGAAGCTTAGAATCTAATACATATTAACCCCTCATTTGATAGAGCAGGCAGTAGAAAGTTTGAGTGATTCATATGAAAGTAGGAACAGCACCAGGTCGTGTTCTCCAACTGCCTACTCTGTTTCAGTCAGACCATTGTGAAGTTACTGAGAACTCTGCCCTTGGGAAACGTCCATAAAAACAAAGATCTTTTAGAATTTCAACACAGCCAGCAAGTATAGGGCAATTTCAGTTCATTTTTATTTTATGATATATTAAAAAAATCATCAGTCAAAATGGACTCAATGTTTCTATGTTACTAAAACAATAAAACTTTTTTTTCCTATTTGAATGTAGGAGTTTGCTAATATAGTTTTTAAAATGTACTTGAAGTTCCTTTATGCAAGGTACCTTGTACATAAATTACTCTGGTGGCCTGGATTTACCAATGATATCAGAAAATACGCATATGTATTGCTAACCATATTACACATCATATATGAACATAAGAGACACTATTAGTTACAGTCCATTAATTTTCACCATAATCCGGTTAATTATTATTTTTCTTATTCTTAAGACCACAGAACTTTGTAAGATGAACTAAATGCAATACACGCTAATAGCAAAGTCCACATTTTGAACCCAGGTAAGTTTGAAGGGAGAGAGTAGAGCTGTTTTACTCTGCAACACTTAACTCTAACCATAGTTTTCTGGTGAACAAACGTGTTCTCTAAGAAAAATATACAATCATGAAAAGATCCAAAGTTCACTTTAAGTTCAGGTTAGCACTAGAAATCTAGTCTCTATACTATAGAATTATTTTTAAAATATATTTTCTAGTTGATATACTTCATGCAAAATGAAATGACAAATGAAAGACAAAGCATGGAAAGTATGACAGATATGTAAGTTTTCCTTGTATGAACTGCTGCTCTTAATTTGCTCCTCTCCCCTCCTTTTTCAGTATCAGCTGTAATGCCAACTTCTAGTGAGCTCGAAAACAGGACGTGGCTTTCTATCATATGCCAAAAACACACCTTTAACACACTGTCCTTGGTTCCTTCATGACTCCTCACCTGTTTCTTGGCAACGAGGTTCAGTTGTCTAATGTGATTGCAGTCGCCTGTGGGTTTCTAACGGAGACCAACGTACTATGTACCTGCACTTGAGAAGATCATTAAACCTTCCTTTGTCCTACATGAATATTTTATCTTGGCTGGCATAACTGCCGGGCTCCACAACTCTGATAAAAGTAAAATATGAGCTGTCTTAGCAGACAGCATTGTTCATGGTGAAAATAACCCTGATTGGTAAATTGCATCTGACTGGGGGTACTATGAATGAACAACCTATAGCATTTGAGAGGCCATAGATTTGGACTCGTGAGGGCTGTGCCTTTGAACCTGCACCTGATGCCTCTTGGGAGAATTCTGGGATTTAACTCCACGTGAGCATTACTTGGGAATGGCTCCTATGGTATGTGGGTTTCTGAGCTGAAGTGACCTCACATTCATCTAGGTGAAGCTTGTTGTCTTGGAGATGTATATGGCTCTCCTGTTATTGGAGGTCCAGAGAATAGGGTTTTTTGTTTGGTTTGGTTTTTATTCGTTTTGTGTTTTGTCTGCTATAAAGATTTTACCAAAAGAAATATCCTAACTTTTCTACTGGCCCACTGAGTATCCTGTCTGCTTATCTTTCTAAGTGTGCCGATTACAGATGTGACCTATGAAGCCACTGGCTTTTAAATGTCTAATGGAGCCTAAGAAAACCCACAGTGGAAGTCATAGCATCCAACATGCCTGCATTCCAGGATTTCCTTGCTCCTGGAAAGTCAATCTTTGTACCCTGGTTTAATATCTGTTTTCTGTGATGAATGTGTTTATATCTTGTGGAACATCTAAAACCAACACAATCATTCCATGCCCCAACCATTGCTTGCTAAATCAAAGTTTTCTCTCCCATGTGCCTTTCTTTTTGCCATCAGTGAAAATACACTATCATTTTTTTCAACTTTTTAATCTGCCCTGCTGTGAATTTAATTCAGTTCTCTATTGCCTTCTACCTATACAACATCATAGCAGGTTTTTCTAACTCTTTTACAAATTATGACACATAACTGCCTTAACCTACCTCATACACAGCTTCCACTTAGGGGACTGTGATAACTTACCATTACCTCTTAGAACGAATTTACATTCTCCTTTCTGTCATCTGCCCAAGGGCGTCCACCAGGTGACCTCACTTTGCTTCCTCAGATTTATCCTCTGATGTGGCCCTTTCATTTTCTCTTCCTGAATTTTTCTCTCACTTGTCTTTCATTACATTCTCCTGGAATAAGTGTTCCTTCTCGTAATTCAAATGTGAGCCTTTCGCCAGAACTCAAAGTTCGCCTTTCCCAGACCTTACAACTGTTTGCTACCATAAAATTCACCTTTTCTTTGAGATTTTCAGCACCTGTAATTATGGTATATTTTACTTAAGCTAGAATTTGCTTATACATGGCCATACTATATTTCTCTATTTGCTGAATAAACCAAATCTCTAAATATTTCTTTGGTTATTTGCATTCAACGTGCTTTTCTATATAGGAATTCAAATGATCTCCAAAACAACTGAGTAAGGGAGGCTAGGAGAAATGATTATGTTTGTTTTGCCACTGACGAGATTACACACAGAGAAGTTAACTGCCTATCACAACAGCATTGCCTGCCCTCAAATGGCAAGTTAGGGCAGGTGTCAAAATCTCTTGGTCATTAGTTTTATGCTATTATTACTGTGTCTTAGTTCATTCCAGGACCTATAGCAAATTACATTTGTCTGGGGATTTTTAAACAGCAGAAATTTATAGTTCACAATTCTGGAGTCTGGAGATTCCAATATCAAGGTACCAACAGATTTGGTATCTGGTAAGATTTGCTTTGTCTCTGCCTCAAAGACGGCACCTCCCTGCAGCATCGTCAAAGTGGAAGGAGAGGCAAGAGAGATCCCTCAAGCTTTTTTAAAGGTGCGAAGGTCGGGCGCGGTGGCTAATGCCTGTAATCCCAGCATTTTGGGAGGCCAAGTCAAGGGATTACTTGAGGTCAGGAGTTTGAGACCAGCCTGGCCAACATAGTGAAACCCCATCTCTACTGAAAATACAAAAACTGGCTAGGTCTGGTGGCAGGCACCTGTAATCTCAGCTACTCAGGAGGCTGAGGCAGGAGAATCGCTTGAACCCAGGAGATGGTGGTTGCAGGAGTTGAGATCGTGCCACTGCACTCTAGCCTAGGCTACAGCAATGATACTCTGCTCAAAAAAAAAAAAAAAAAAAGTGCTAATACCATTCATGTGGGTAGAATCTTCGTGACTTAGTCTCTTCCCAATGACCCCATCTCCCTGCCTCTAAATACGAACCACATCAGATATTGGGCTCCAACATTCAAATTTTAGGAGGACACCAACATTCAGACCACAGCGCACTGTTTACAAAAATATAATCTAAGCCTGACATCAAACCTTGCAGTAGGATGTATGTTTTGTTCACTTCAGCTACTGTAAGTTACAAATATTCTAACACACACACACACATTTCTCATATATGCTCAGTGAACAAAAGAATAACATACATGGTCTCTAATTCAGATTTTGTTTTCATTTCAAATGTTAAACTACCCAGAAGAGAATTTTCTACTAGTTTTTCTGCTTAAAAATTCTACAATCTTCTATTATTCATGACGAAAAAAAAAATCAGAAAAAACAGAGTTTAATTTCTTCCACTTCTTTCAGTTTCAAAGATTCGTATGATGACTATAAAACTGACACGTATCCTTTAGAAGCTTATGGAAAAATGACCTCCAGAGGTTTAGAGGTCTGATTCTTTTTCCTGAGGCTGCAGTCTAGGTTTGTAGAAAATTCATAAGGCAGAAACAAACAGTAAACAGGTTTGCAAATCTTAGTGAAGATGAATGTGAAGATGGCCCAGATAATATTTAAGTAAACATACAATATTTTCACCTGATTTTTAAAGCTGTTGATATTTTAAAAAAAAATGTGACCAGCATTTATGGATCACCTTTAATATTATAGGAAATCTGCTAAATGATAAAAACAGAATAATAATTCAGAAATACTCCTTGCTCATACAAACCCATAGACTGTTGTTAAAATTAAACTCCTGTGGGAATCATAACTCAATAATTTGGCCAATATTTGTTGAGCTCTTTTCCTATGAGAGGACAGTTATGGTTATGAAAGACGATGCATAGATAACCACAGAAGGGGCAGGTATATACATTTTTAATCAAAAGGTGCAAAGATGAAGGTGAGAAAAAGCATGAGAAGAAAGGAATACAGTATGAGAAGGGGTTAAGGAAAAGAGGGAGGAAGACACTTTTTTTATTATACTTTAAGTTTTAGGGTACATGTGCACAACGTGCAGGTTTGTTACATATGTATACATGTGCCATGTTGGTGTACTGCACCCATTAACTCGTCATTTAGCACTAGGTATATCTCCTAGTGTTATCCCTCCCCAGTAACCCCATCCCACAACAGGCCCCGGTGTGTGATGTTCCCCTGAAGAAGACACTTTCGACTGATGAAGGTGCCCTACTGGGAGGTTGGAACATTATGGTAATTCCACACTCCCCTCCTCTCCTAGTAAATTAAACTATAGGCACCATCGTGGTTAACTAGATGTTATTATAGCTCTTCAGGGTCTAAAGAGCTATTTGTTATACAGAAACATTTCCTAGACATTTTCCTAGTTTTGGCCAGACTAGAATTAAATAATTAATTTCTTTGTATACTTAGTAAAACAAGAAGTATTGCTCTACGTGGTCTCGGACTTCTGTTCTGGGTGAACGAGCAGCTTTTCCTTCCAGTTTTGGCAGCATGACATCATCTGCTTTAGTCTGGTTGAGGTGCTAGCTAATCTCCTAATTTGTCAAGTAAGACATGCTTTGATTCTATTTCTCGGCATATGCCAACAGTGTTACTTTGGTAACAATACTCCACACACTATTCTGGCCTCACTTTCTCATCATTTGTTCTGTGTGTGTTCCAGCTCAGGCTCCGATTCCTTGGGTGTAGAGGCACCTCTGATATTTAACATCTTGGAAAATGACAGACATAAGTCATCATCTCTGTCCTCAACTACCAACCAAGTAGGGACAGTAAGTTACTTCTGCCTCACATCTCAGAGAGCGGTACTTCAATGTGACATACGCACTCAATTTTTAATCTGTAAACTCTGAAATGCTCTTGCTGGTATGAAACTGGGTTTGCAACTGAACACATTCCCTCAGTCCCTGGGCTCCTTGCACAGCTCTGCCTGCAAGCGAGACTGTGAGGGCTCAGAGGCAGAGTCACAGGTGCTCTTCAGAGATGGGAGGTGCTCTGGGAAATCAGAAAAGGGTGACAATAGTGGGGGAAAGAGTTGGGGGTGGAGGCAATGAGGGACCAAGCAGGCACGTACAGTGGGAAGCCGCAGGAGAATTCAGGTGCCTCTCATCAGCAAAGCGCCAATGTGTTATTCCTTCATGTATTTATTCACATCATCGATGAAATTCCATCAGTCCTGTTAAGTACCAGGCACTGTTCTAGGTTCCAACGGAGCAGTAAATACAACAACAAAATCTCCATTCACAGCTTACATGCTAATGGAGTAATGCTATTTGCTAGGTTTCCGTCATATTTCTCTAAAATAAGTGCCTCTTTTTTTGGTATACTGTAAATACCCTTCTCACATTGCTCCATTTGAGCTGGAAACACGTGTTATAGTATACTAGAATTATAAATAGCAATATTTACAAGTAATTGTCAAAACCACATTAATTAACTCCTCATGTTTCCCTCGTGTCTGGGAATGTAATTAAAATAATGAAAAGTGAAAGGAATTTCACCATCATCTGTAGTCATGTTAGTGAGATAAATCGCCACCAGAAAACACAGTAACACTTAAAAAGAACAAGTAAAATGTCTTTAAAAATTCTATTCATGAGCTTTCTTCCAAATAAGGATTACATTATTCCATATGTAAGTGTTTATGAATACTCTGAAGATATAACATTAAGGTTTTAATTCACAACTACATACACATCTAAGCCTAAATGAGTAAAGCATTATTCCTAATTCTAGTTTTGTTGCCACAGATTTTGAATACCATTTGTAATTACCTATAAACAACATTTTTAAATAAATACTTCTTAAAAGGAAGCTGCTGTAAAAGGCTGGCTGAACCCTGGGGATTGGCATTTCTGTCCTTTTACTGGAATACAGAACATTCATGTATTTCATTTACCATTGCTTAGCTCATATGGTTTAGTAAATGGAAGCGTTTCCAATTTGATTACCTGATATGTTTAAATAGTGTGTGCTTGTGATATTAATATTTTACACATTTCCTGTTGGGTGCCTGACGTGGTAAAGCATCATGATCTAATGTGTACGTTTTGGTCTTTAAATGACCTTTTTAGTTCTGGTGATGACACTAGCCACTGAAAACACCTTATAGTCTCTTCTTTCCATCCCTCAAACCCAAAGTCACTATTTGGAATGTGATTCAGGAAATAATAAGCTTATAAGATTTCTATAGATACAGCTGTTCTCAAAGCTATTCCATAAGGTAGTCCTTGGCCACTACAAAGCCACAGGGATTCTCCTGATGGTACAAACATATGCAAAGTGAGGACTCTTTCCTTCAATAACGGCTCACAAATCCTTAATATGAAGGACTTCAAATCGGTATTAATCAACTAAATTTACCATGTTACTAGGACTCCAGTTCTGCTGCAAATCCTCCTGCAAGACATGGTGATGTTTTCATACTGCCACTGGACATATGCATGTATGGATTTGTAAGTACCACCATTTTCATGAAAAACCATTTTGCTTATACCATAAAAGTGGTGAGTCAGCCAATATTTTTAATTCTGTGCATTAAATTAATGCACTTGTAGAATTGCTATTTAGTTTTTACTTTTCCAACCAGTTTTTTAAAAATATTGTAACCATTTTGATTGATTGATTTTTTTTCTACTATACTGTTTTTCCACTGAGTGGTGGAAAAAGGCAGAATAGTTCACTGGTCTTTGGTCTTGTCAATTGTATATATAGACAAAAGAGTGAATTAATGCATGAATAAATTAGTAACTAGCTAGCTAGTGTAAGAAGCAAGACCATACCATTACATATCTTGAATATAAGGAAAACCATGACCAGTCTAATGATTACCACAAACAGTAGGGTAGCCTAGGAGGACAGACTGGATGTCTCTTCTATTGAACTTTATAATACCCCAAATTTCCATTCTTTTCTTTTAAGGATACTTACTCAGGAGTATTTGCCCTTGAGTCTTCCTGGCTATGGTTTAAATAACTAAACAAAATATATCTGACCTGCTGAAGAGGGTGTCAGAATAAAACAGATATGTTTTAATGTGTCCCAGACAACAGAAGGCTAGTGAGAGACGTCTAATCCTCTAATGAACTGTGTGGATATCTGAAACCTAAACAAAAATTTTAATCTATACATATATCTATATATTTATATATCTATATCTATGTATAGTATCTTGGTTAATCTTCACAGAAACCTAGAACCATGTACTACACTTAACTCATGCAGTTGTTAATAATAATAGCTGCTTATGCAAACACTGGCACAGGAACCCTCCTCCCAGGGCCAGGCAGCTTCCTGTATATGTGGAGTATGACTCACATTCCAACTGACCTTCCCTCAATTCTAGGCCTCCATTTCCAGGATTGAAGAAGCATGGACCACTGGCCAGATCTTCCTGAACCGTTCCCAAGACTCTGTGTCACCTCCGCCTCCTGCCTGGACACCCTTACAGCCAATCTTTGTATGTCTTCTCTGGTGTTTATGTCACTGTGGGAGACCCAAGATTCTCAGGTCACACACCTCATCCTTCCTTCTCCAATCCTGATTTGGCCCTGCACCCTGATCTGTCCCTATCACCCATTGCCATATCTCTCATGATGCTTAATTCCTTGCATGCACAGTATTTAAATTATCCTAGCACTTTCTGCTTGGCAGAAATCACAGCCCTAATTCCACTCCACTCTGCTGAACCAACACCTGGTGCAGTTGGATGTACTGCGCCTGTAGAAAAAACCCAGAACGAGGATGGGGGGGCATCTCCATTTAACTTTATGACCATTGCTCTGAAGTGTGCCTTTTCAGTCGCCCTGCTTGCAGGAGAGATTTCATTTTCACCCGGAGACATTTATTTTTTGCCTTCCTTTCTCCCTAAAGTCTCCAGTAGTGCCATCTGCAGGCCACAGGTCCCTGCTGTGCAGATGGTCCACACAAGGGCAGCTGGGGGGCAGCTGTAAGCCGATCCCATGCCACCTGCATCAGCCAAAAGGAAGGGGCTCTCTCATTCAACAGACACAAAGAACACTTACCAACACCACCAATTCCCAAATGCGTACCTGCAGCCTGAACCCTGTTCTGAAATGTGGATTTGAGGGTCCAGCAGCCCACTCAGCTCACGCAATAGGACCCGAACCTCACATGCATATAAACAAGTTCCTAATATTTCTCCTCAAACTCATACCTCTGCAATCTTTCCATCTCATGAATGCAGCGTTATCCTTCCTAAAAGCCTTGGGGGCACTCCTGACCCTCTGCTCTCTCAACCCACATCCAACACATCAGCAATTTCTGTTCGCTATACCTTCAAAATATAAGTAGAATCTGATCAGTCGTGTTTCATGGCCAATGTGCTCATCCAAGCCACCATTTTCTCAGGCTGGACTGTTACCATCGTCTTCTAATTGGTGTGCTTGCTTCCATCTTTCCAACATCCTCCCTGGCTAACACCCCAGAGCCAAAGAGACTCCATTACAACCTAAGTCACATAACTCTTCTGCTCAGATGATGCCGATGGCTTTCCAGCTCTCTCGAAGTAACAGCTGCAAGCATATTTACAGTGCCCTCAGGGTCCCTTCGTGGCTGCCACGCTGACATGACCTTAGGGACCTGGTGTCTAGTGTCACTCTCCTTGTTCACAAGCCAAGAGCTCCAGCTCCACCTGTCTCCACACCGTGCCCTGAAATACACAGATGTGCTGCACCCTGAGGCTTCTGCACTAGGCCCTCCACCTCGGTGTTTCTCTGATGCTCTGCCTAGCACTGCATGCCTTCACTCAAGGGTCTCTTTCTCAAATTGTGACACACCACATTCTCCTTCTCTGCTTCATTTCTCTCCATGGCATGTATCACCTGTGGCTATACTATATCCTGTATAATAAAATTATATAATACATAGAGACTGATAGGTCTATGAAATTGACTTATTTTGTTTACTCCTTTTCTCCAATCCTGTCCTGCCTTCATAAAGCGTGTCTCACCTTAGTTTTAACTTGCATTCCCCTAAATGGCTAGTGAGGCTGAATGCGTTTGATATGCTTAACAATATTTTATCATTTCTTCCTGAGAGTGCCTGACTTGGTTCACAGGTAGATATAAACCTATCTATCAGATATAAATAGTGAGAGAAAACATGCACTTTCTCACCGCTGAGCTAACCTGGGGAAAGTTCTGCCTTTCTAGTTGCCACAGGAGGAAAGGTGCACAGGTGCGCGCAGCCAGGAGCATGTGGGGAAGCTCATCCTGGCAGGACCCACCCCAGCAGAAGCACTAGCAGGCAACACGGGGCCAGGGGTTTGATGTCAGGGAAGGCAAGATGGGAGCTTGCCAGATTTCCGTATCAACTGCCACTTAATAATCACATTCCATGCTTTTATGAATTATCCTTACTGATCTAATTTTGTATCAGTAGTGCTTGAAGGGCTTAAAGGAAAAACTAGCCCTTTCCTTAAGCAAAAGAGAGTGAGCTAGCTATATGTCATCTATATATTTTAAAATTACAATAATAATACATAACTAGAGGAAAAGTGTAAAGAAATACATTAAACAAAAAGTAGGCGTCTCTTCATTGCTTAACTGTAAGCATACCCTCTGGGTATAATGATTATTAAGTTATCTACTAATAACATGCACTCTATAAACAGGTAGAATAAAAACAGAGATTACACATTATTTTACAATTTGAATCTTGGTTAAAGAGGTTCTTCCAGAAAGTCAAGAAGAAAATGTCAACCATATTTCTCTTTCTAGCAAAATTAATAGTACACTGAAATTAAGATTATTCAACTGTGTAAACGTGTTACATACCAATATTTCCACATTATATATCCTCAGATTTTATTTTTATTTTTACTATGATGATTTGTAGCACATATGTAAAAAGACCAGTGCCTTATGGATACCTCTTTTTTCCCCCAGCTATGCACATAGCACTCCATGAAACATTTATATGCATATATCTTTACATGTTGGTGGGTATTTCTCTCAAAGAAATTATTAGAGTTGAAATTGAGGGATTAATGTCTAAGAAAAAT
The DNA here is from genome assembly GCF_000001405.40 of Homo sapiens. Classification (NCBI taxonomy): domain Eukaryota; kingdom Metazoa; phylum Chordata; class Mammalia; order Primates; family Hominidae; genus Homo; species Homo sapiens. The sequence goes on from NC_000008.11 coordinate 3,870,510, forward strand.
TTACCGTTTGAGAGCTATGGTCAAATTACCCTCCAGAAATGTCCAGCCATTTCTCTCCAACTATTTGTAACAGAGGATCTCTTTCCCCAAACTCTTCCAATATGTTTATGAATCTTACAGGTGAAATGGGATCTACTTATTTTTGCTTTTATTTACCTGAATATTAGAGGGATGTTAAGTATTATCTGATTTATATTCATTTATATATTCTCCTCTGTTAATGTCCTATGGCCATTTTTAACCATAAATAAATGTATATTAATTAGAGCTACTCAGGAATTGCATTCTTATTGTAAAACATACACAGGAGAGAAAGAAGCATCTCCAACATTAACACCATTCTGTCTTAGGTTCCTTAGATGCCTGAGTTTAATGTTCCGTTTGCTAGCTTTTCTTCTTTTATTGCATGTACATAGCTTTTTATGTATTCATAAATGTAAATTTTTGTTTTATATTCTTAAATATAAGTTAATTTTTTCTCATTCAATGTGTTATAATTTTTTTAAAAAAATTCAATACATATAAATCTCCATCTTTGTGTATTATTCCATGACTTACGTATGTTAAGCCTTATTTAACAATTGTCCTATTAATAGACATCTAGAATATTTTCAATTTTTTAAAACAAGTAATACCTCACTCATCATACTTTTATTTGCCTTCTAATGCAAATGTGCAAATATTTTTCTACAATGTGTACCAAGGAACTATATTAAAATTAGAGAATACATATTTTAGCACTTAATAATGCCAAATTACTCTTCAATAAAAAGCTGCACTGATTTATACTCCTACTAGTAGTGTTGGAAAATCACAACATCATAGTTGATATTGACAACTATTATGTCTCTTACTAAAATAATGGATTAAAAAAACTTGCATTGGTTTCTTCAACTTGCATTATTTTCCTTTAACATGCATCATTTAATTTCAACTTGCATTATTCTAAATTACTAGTGAGGTTGAATTTATTTTCATAGACTTAATAAACATTTGTATCTCCATAATGAATAATGCTTGATTTTAATTTTTCTTAGTCTATTAGGTTATTATTATTGATTCATAATTTTTATATATTAGGAATATTAGTCTTCAAATTCAGATTATACAGGATATATTTTTTCTCACTTTACCATTAGTCTCAACCTTTAATCTTTTCATACAGAGGTCAATCATTTTCACCCAGGTAAATGTGTCTCAAAAAATTGCTTTTGAAATCCACCCTTCTAACATTTGAGAATGTGGGTAAAATGGTGGATGACATAAAGATTAAATGTAAGAGTTGTTGATGTGAATGAAGTGTGAAGCTTGTGAAGGCTATTACACAATTAGCTTGTGAGCCAAGAACTCCCTTCTGAAAGAAAATAACAGGTGTTGATTTTGAAATAAAGATAAAATGAATTAACGTAGCCCTAATCTTCTGAAAAACACAGCCTAAGTTTTGCCATTTTCTATTTGTGAGCTACAAACCTGCACTATTTCCTATGCAATGGTGTGCAGTGAGTATAGTGGTTAACACATTATTTTGGATACATTATATTGCTCTTTTAGGATACAACCTGCTGAAAGGCCAATTCCCTTTTGGTTTTCTCAAATTTCTTTCCATTCTTATTTGTTCTTTTTCTCATTTCATGTTGTTTTAACCCGTGTTTGGATCCTCAGTTAAATTACAGTGTTTAATGGAAATGTGAGATCGTATACTTCATTCTGGTTGTTGTCGTTGTTGTTGTTTTTAGGGAAAAGGGTTCTTCTGTGAACTGAACGTGTCAGGTTTGGGGTCACCCTGTAAGTGCCATCTGGCTCATTCTCAGTTCTCCCAGCTTTCCCCCGGCAAAGTGCCAGGTGCTGTGTTGGCAAGATGTCCCTGCTTCAGTGACTCTCAACTGTTCATTACTACCTTCCTGAAGTGTCCAGTTAAAACGCATTATCCGAAGCCCACTGTGCAAATGAAAAAGCTGTGGGACAAGGCAGGTAAAATGTGCTCCCTGGTGCCTGAACTAGGTAATGTTCTGCCAGGTCACTGAAAGGCTGATCTCAAGAACTGAGGTTGTCTGTTTCAGAATTGCTTGATAGAGTTCAGTAAAAAGGCATTCATTTCATGTCAGTTTCCACAATCCATTCATTTTCTCTTAATTTATTAATGAGTTTATTTCCTGAGCCCTTCATTCATGAAGAGCCTCGTGCTACTTAGAAGGCCTTGTTCTCACTATTAACAGAGTGAACAGATAACCTTCAAAACCGGAGAAATTTTTTGCAAACTACCCATCCGACAAAGATCTAATATCCAGCATTTGTAAGCAACTTAAACAAATTTACAATAAGACAGCTCCAAAAAAAAAAAAGAAAGAAAAAAGAAAACAGCTGCATTAAAAAGTGGACAAACAACATGAACAGACACTTCTGAAAATAAGACATACATGTGGCCAACAATCATATGAAAAAAAGCTCAACATCACTGATCATTAGAGAAACGCAAATCAAAACCACAGTGAGATACCATCTCACACTACTCAGAATTGTTGTTATTAAAAAATCAAACAACAACAGATGCTGGCAAGGTTGCAGATAAAATGGAACATGTATACACTCTTGGTGGGAGTGTAAATTAGTTCAACTATTGAGGAAACTAGTATGATGATTCCTCAAAGACCTAAAAACAGAACTACCATTCAAGCCAGCAATCCCTTTACTGGCTATGTAGCCAAAGGAACAGCAATCATTCTATCATAAAGACACATGCAGGTGTATGTTCACTGCAGCTCTATTCACAATAGCAAAGACATGGAATCAACCTAAATGCCCATCAGCTGTAGAATGGATAAAGAAAATGTGATATGTATATACCATATAATACTATCAAGACATAAAAAAAAATGAGATCATGTCCTTGGCAGGCACATGGATGGAACTGGAGGCCATTATCTTTAGCAAACTAACACAGCAACAGAAAACCAAATACCACACGTTCTACCTTCTAAGTGGAAGGTGAATAATAAGAACACAGGGACACATAAAGGGAAAAACAGACACTGAGACCTACTGCAGGGTGGACGGTGGGAGGAGGGAGAGCATCAGCAAAAATAACTAATGGGTACTCGGCATAATACCTGAGTGGTGAAATAATTTGCATATCAAACCCCCATGACACTAGTTTATCTATATGACATGTATCCCTGAACTTAAAATAAAAGTTAAAAATAAATAAATAAATAAAAAGCCTTTTTCTCAGTATTAAGGATACAGAGAAAAATCAGATGGCCTGAACCAACGTAGCCCTTGATTAGACTGGGAGAAAGAAAAGCACACATGGTCACGGTGTTTGTAGTTTCTGGATGTTAGGAACACAGAGGAGATATTCATTTAAGCCAGACTGGCTGAACTGGGGGAGGTCACTGATCTTGGAGACAACTAGATCTGACTTTGGATTCTGAAAAGAGAACAGTGCAGTCTTGAGGGCTGTGTTGGTGACATAGGTCTGTTTATACACACTGTGCGGCTGTAGAACTTCTCTGTCAAATTAGCATCTGTAAAGCTTTCCACTTCCCTCCCCTCAAATTTAGGAAGTTCTCTGTGCTATCCTCAGGCTGGGTTCTTTCACTGCCCTCTCTCCAGGAGGCCTACCCCTTCCCCTGGGGATGCAATCTGCTATGTGCTATAAAGTGTAATTATCTAGTGTTCCACAGCCATGGAGAAGACCTTCCTAACCTTCCTGCAATTTTCTAAAGGATGAAGAGCATGTTTATTTTACTGTTAGAATGCTCAAGGTCCCTGTGTCCCTGGACCACCTGTACTTTGGAAATACAGGCTGCGTAACTCTTATCTAAAGTGAGGTTTTGAAAAATTGTCTGTATTTAGAACTCTTTAAAGACGTACTTTTCAGTGACTCCTACAGTCATTATAGGTTTTATCCCTGGATCAAACTAAGTAATCAGAAACCAGAAAGCTCAGACTTCAGTGCTTGAACTTTTACAGACTTCTTTTATGACGTTGCATTGAAACACATGCTGTCGGCGTTCATTGAAGACATACAAGCAGCATCTTAGGGAGATGTTGCTGCCTCTGTGATGGAGATCTTCTTAAAAGCATCATTCAGTAGATTAAGTCTCACATGTGGAATATGTTTTTTGGTTTCCAAAAGAAGCTGCCATGTTTTTCTCTGTGGATGATGAAAACTCTGCAAGTCCCTCCTACAACAAATGCGACTGGCGCCCACTGCTCTTGGCAATGGAGGTGAGAACATACCATGTCTGTGACGGGGAAGGACAGGGTTTGGAAGGAGATGCAGACATTAAATAGGACACACACCAAAGACGGGGTCAATTTCGGAGGATGAATAAACCCATTAAGAAAACGGCAAAGGGTGGTGAGATCCACTGCGATGCTGCGCACCAGTGATTTGAATAAGACTTGGGGAAGACCTTGGGGCCTGACATTTAATCTGAGAGCTTCTACCATGAAGGAGCCAAGCAGGATGGACGTCTGGCTGCATCATCTCAAGAAGAATGGATGCAAGCACAAAGGCTGGCATGAGCTGGGGCGGCTGAAAGAGCAGAAGAGCGGACACAGAAAGGTGCCTGGGGACCAGATCCTAGAGGGGCTTCAGGAACACATTGTGGGGTTTGGAAATTACTCGATGTAAAATGCGACACTGGGGAATGGACTGTAGCGCAGTGGGGAAGGAGTGGAACAGTGAGGCCATTCGGGAGCCACCACAATGGTCCTCATGATTTGAATTGAGACCATAGCTGAGAAGAAGGATAAAAGGCAATATTTACACTGCATTAAGGATCCTAAACTCAAAGAATTTGCTGTTCTATTAGGTGAAGGAGAATTAGATACTAAGAAGGACAGTGAGTGACGTTTTGGCGACTTCTGCGTAGACATGGTCTATGAAGTTATGGATTGGAGGAGTTCCTGCAGGAGGGAGTGAGATGATGTAGGTGAATGGGTGGAAAAGCCCGAACTGGGTTCCGAGGGTCACTGGCATGGAGAGGTGGAGAAAAGGGGAGGAAGCAGCCGGCATGGAAGAAGGAAAGCAGGAGAGGCTCCTTCAGGAGGAATGTTTTATTGGAGAGGAGTCCCATTGTGAGAGGAGGAAGAGGAGGAGGACCAGAGTTTCCTCACAGCCTCCGGAGCATGGAAGTGGGTGGTGAATTCCAGGAGAGCAGCTCTGGCTGAGGTCTAGGGAGGGGGCAGAATCTTCTCGAGTGGATTGAGGAAAGAAAGGCAGTCAAAGAAATGGAGACAGCCAGTGAAGACCTCCTCAAAGCTTTGTGGTAAAGGGAAGGTACAAAAACAGCTGAGAGCTTGAGGGAATTTGCAGATCAATCAAGGATTGCCTTTTGGAAACACTAGAGTGTGTTCCAAACTTGGTAGGAAATCACAAGCAAATTTCCATGTTTCTCTTTATGAGGAGATCAATGGGAAGCTCGGAGGCAAATTTATGGAGTAACTGTAAAATTGCGAAGGGCCACATGTCTTACATTTCTTCCTACAGTTCTATTTCCAGTTTTTATACCCTTTGATCTTAATACTGCATTTTAATTACCTATTTTGAAATATACTTGTTGTCTTTTCTATATATTTGTTTTCTTCCTTTTAAAAAATAAGTTAAAAAAGCAAGAAATTAACCTCTGGAAACCAGTGACAGTCATGTTTTGTGAAGGAAACTCATGTTTGAAAGGAGGGGAGGGGAAAACTCCTCTCACCCCTGATATCGCTAAGCCAGACGTTTAAAATCAAATGCATTCACGTGTTGTTTTATTTACCTTAGAAGTTTTTAGAATTAGTATGGGAAAAGGTGATGCACATTTCAAAGCCCAGGATGACTGTTGTGTTAGTTTTCATGTATAGTGTTGTCCTAGAGTACTCAATAAACTTTCCTGTATTTCTAAAGAATTCTGCACTTAGAAGCCTGGAGACACCATTCTCCTTTTATTCCTGTCTCTTGTTGGAGAGTCCTAACAGAATTGATAAAATATGTAAGTGTGTAAGTGTGGATGTAATTTATTAGGAGAAATTTATTCATATTTATTCCTAAAAAATTATTAATTCTAAAATGAGGTACTGGCTTTTTATCATGCTTCATGGTATTGTTTTTGTTTGTTTCTTTGTTTTTGAGACAGAGTCTTGCTCTGTTGCCTGGGGTGAAGTGCAGTGGTGCTATCAGTGCGCACTGTAGCCTTGACTTCCCAGGCTCAAGCAATCCTCCAGCCTTGGCCTCCTGAGTACCTGGAAGCACAGGCATAGGCCACCAGGCACAGCAAGTTTTTAAAAATTTTTTGTAGAAACGAGGTTTCACCATGTTGCCCAAGGTGGTCTTGAACTTCTGACCTCAAGTGATTCGCCCGCCTTGGCCTCCCAAAATCATGCGTGGGATTACAGGCATGATCCACTCTGTCCAGCCTCTCATGCTTGGCTTTTTATCATGATTTATTTAGAAGCACAAGAAATAATTCATAAGTCATAACACAGATCTCAAGCAATAACATACTTTCATATGAAATGTGAGCATTTTCATTTCGTATAGTGTTTTTTTGCCTGTCGTAACCACAATGTCTTAAGGTTCTTACAAGGGAGATTCAGCCTGAAGTAGTGCAACTCCTCGGTGAAGCAGGCGAATTTTGCACTTTCCCCATCCCTTCCTCTACCTTTCCTACAGGAGAAGTGACTTTTGGAAGAAGGAAGTGGACACTGGGCTCAGCACCCCACACTGCTTGCTTTGAGACCTGCCTACAGTGAGCAGATGTCCTGGTGTGGCCCTTGATGCGTGGTGAAAGGAAACTTCTGCATGCTGGGAGCCCTCCAGGTGTCCAGCTGTGTCCATGATGGGGGAGGCATGTGCTCTTCCATGGCTACCTGCCAGACATGGCTGCAGACCGAACCCACGTTCCATACAGGCTCAGAAGCGGAGTCTAGCGTTCCAGATGAATTCTCTTAATCTAGCAGGCCCTACAGCTCTCTCAATTTGCTTCTAAGACGAGGGAGGAAATTTACTTATGGATACCCTCAAGCTTCGATGTTCCCCATATTCAGGTAAAGGCCAGAGAAAAAAATGAGCTCTTCAGGGTTACACTGTTAGATCTAACAACCAGAATCCACAATTTCTGCCCAGTTCATCTACTCCTTACAGTAGAATGTCTATTTTCCCCTGAATAAGGGTCTGAGCACATGGCTTGTACATTTTATATATTTTCATATGCAGTCACAATAAAATAGCAAGTTTGACCGTTAATAATTCACTTTGATATGTAAATCTAGCGTTAGCATGGCATGTTAAGTTAAATGGAACATTATCATGGAGATTGTATATTTATAGAACTGACTTAAATTTTGTCTAATAATGACAAACAAACATTACTAAACCATTCAGAAGGAAAATTGTATCTTCAAGTAAATCATTTTATAGGTCGTGGCCATGACCTAAAGCTTTGTCTACATCAAGGTCATGCAAAGTTTTTTTTTTTTTAAACTTAAACTGAATGTAAATGATAAAACTTTCCAAAGATAAAATGATTTATTAGTACCTCCATCTAATTACATATTCATGCTGGGTGGTCATGCATTGAACATTTGCTATCAGCTTCTGCCTGTCTTCCTTCCTCCTTCCCTGCCCACATTCCTTTCCTTTTGTCTTTGTACATTTTTTGCACGAGAGATTCAAATGGAGAATTCCAAATTTTGTAGTTCAGGGATAAAACTAATATCAAGTAGTGAGAAGTCGAGATGATAATTTCTTAGATTATATACAATTTCCAGGAATGGGACTAAAATAAATCAATCTCTTCTCCCAGTGTATAATATTCTCTACACTATTCTTTAAAATATTCTTACACGTGTATCTTCTTTATTTGATACACGAAGAAAATCCTGGATTTGCCTCTAAGAGTCTCCCACATTATAACAATAATATCAACAATGATACCAGTCTTGCCTTTCCAGTGTAAACATGAACAGACTCTTAAATATTAACTAAGTAGAACACAAGCTAGCTTTTTAATATTTTTATTTATTTAAAAAATGAAAAAGGAAATTATATAGATAGGAAGTATAGAAAAAATTGCGTGCATTATTTCAAACATTTTTACCGATAAATCTGTAAGATCTATCTCTGTTTATTGACAGAAAAATCTCCAAAAGACCCAAATAAGTAGTTTCATATTCAACTAGTCTGAGTTGCTAGTATGTCTGATGCTTCAGTGAGACACTGTGTCATGGGAAATATTAGACCCTTGTACTTTATGTTGGACAGTTATGCTTCCTGAGTTTGTGCAAACTTTGAGTAACTATAACGACGACCACAAATCCAGCTTTCCATATCTTATCAAGTGTGTCCTGGACACAAACCATAATAAACTGACTGAGCTTAATTATTCACCAATATCACAAGTTATATGAAGTCTCAGAGAATGTACATGACAGAAAATAACTTTAATATATGACTAAGTTTTTAAAATCATGATGCAAGCACTTCAAGCAAAAAATAATATATTAGTACTAATAATTTAGTATATTTTACCTCTGAAGTTTGGATAGTTCTCTAAGAACAGGGATAGCATCTGAGTTATTCTGGGGTACCCAAGCATGTAGTCATCTTCTTGAATCTTAGGTGTTCAAACAATCATTTTGTTTTATTAGTACTATCAAAGCCTGGAGCAGGTGGTGGTTTATTACAGCACACTTCTCTTTGCCTAGAAATATACAGGTATGTATTTATACACTATACCTGTGTATATAGGATTGTATATTACATACTGTTCATCAATATGTATCAATATCAAATGTATGTCAAAAATGTCCTGCAGCCAAATCTAAATCATTACAAGATTATTATTCATTAGAATCATCTAAGGAATCTCTATAGACATAAAGTATTCATACACTGTAGCACAAGCCAATTAATCTGGAGGAAATGAATCAGTCCGGTCATTGAGAACAATGTCCCAGGTTTTTGCTTCTCGTTTTGCTTAGAAATGGGACAGAGACCAAGTTACCGTGAGAGCAAGGAAGATGTAGCTCCTCCCCCGCTACAGTCTACTTTGTCATTCTCTATTGATATTACCTTAACAATCACATAGCTATCAGAATGAGATTTGCTTTTATTAACTGGTTTCAGAAATGAAAAAGCACAAACATCTTTTTCTGTGTAGACACCAATATTTCTTGACGTCACATAGTTCTCAGAAAAAAATGAAAGGCTAACTCCTAACCTACATAGAAAAAGTGTTGCATGTGGACTAGCACGTTTTTCTATGAACTAACATTGCTTTCAGCTTCAGATATTTGTCATTTATTTCGTGTATAGAGTGTGTACCGGTGTGCGTGTGCGTGTGTGTGTGTGTGTGTTGCGTTTTAGTCTTCTTCTGGTGTGGATGTTGTATTCACGTTTTTATCCCCTATAACGAAATAGTGCTTGGTATGTGATACGACTTACTACATATTTATTTGATGGGTTAGAATTGTATTAAGATGGACTGGTAATTTTGATTCTGTACCGAAGTTACTGACTAATGTAAGTATAAAATCCTCGAAGATTATAAAAGATTTTCTTTTTTTTTTGACTGAGAACTCCTAACCTAACAAACGTATTACTAAATTCATTTACTGTCACAAGTTTCTACTGTGACTGCTAGTACCTTCGACCATGGTACAGAGGAAATTGGATTCAAGAATAGCCAAGAGGAGCAGTTAGGGAAAATAATGCAATTTCAGGTGCAATTCTATATGAATCACCTTCTCTTAACATTCATGAGAACTCAAATTCTCTTGCTCTACATGCTGATATTAGATTACATTTTTCAAAAACTATCCCATTATTACTGCATCGTTGTTCTTTATTGTTAATTGACAGTAAACAATATGCCAAATTGCCATATAAATGAACTGCCTCATGACCAAATTAGCTTCAGTTTCCAGGATTTGAGTGATATTTATGTAAATTTTAATTCTTGAGATATCTCGCTGCTTCACTTTATTTCCTTAGAGTTATAAATAAAATTTGATTTTCTAAAGCCACGTAGTTTATTTTACTAAGTGCTTCTCAGTAGCATTGTGAATAGCCAGTTATCTTCCACTACACAAATAGTACTATATTTTTGGATTCTCCATTTTAAATCTAGGACATACATGTTTCTTAACCTTTCCTGTAAAGTCTAAAAAGGAAGAAAGCTTTGCACACGTTTCCCAAATCCTCAGCTCCAATCCTTAAATAAGCAAAATATATTAAAATTATATTATACAGCTATTATCCAAAATTTGTCTCACGAAAAACAATGTATTTTCTTTTAGATGGTTGGTTATAAAGATAATTCCTAAAAATAACGTAATGACCTGCGCATTTATATTTTTTCTAATACAAATTTTTCTAGTCCTCCTTCGTGTACCATTGAAAGTAAACACAATGTTATTTACCAAGTATTACATTGGATGCAAAATTAGTATAGAAAAGACAACTGCATTTTTAAGTACTAGCAAAGGCAAATGAAGATCAAAATTTTAAAAAGAAATCATTTACAATATCAATAAAGCCTCAACTATCTATGAGTGAATTCAAAAAATTATATAAAAAACTGAATGCACGAAATCTGAAATATTATTGACTGAAATTAAGAAGATCTAAAAAATGCAGATATGTGCCATGTTTGTACATTAGAAGACACAATATTTTAAAGATGGCAATTCTCTACAAATGTATTATATAGATTCAAGTCACTCTCAACCCAAACCTCAACAGAGTTTTGTTTCTTTGTTTTTTGCTTTTTTTTTTCACTAATTCATAAGCCAATTCTAATATTTCCATTGAAGCAAAGAAGACTGAATATATAGATATATAAAAAGCAAGTTGGGGCCGGGTGCGGTGGCTTATGCCTATAATCCCAGCACTTTGGGAGGCCGAGGCAGGCAGATCACAAGGTTAGGAGTTCAAAGACCAGCCTGGTCAAGATGGTGAAACCCTGTCTCTACTAAAAATACAAAAAAATTAGCTGGGCGTAGTGGTGGGTGCCTGTAATCTCAGCTACTCAGGAGGCTGAGGTTGCATTGAGCCAAGATGGAGCCATTGCAGTCCAGCCTGCCTGGGTGACAGAGCAAGACTCCATCTCAAAAAAAAAAAAAACAAAAACAAAAACAAACAAACAAACAAAAACCAACAACAACAAAAGAAAACAAAAAAAAACAATTTGGAAAAAAAGAGAAAAGCAGAGCTTGGGGCCTTACACTACCAGTTATCAAAATTTACTCCAGAAATTAATTACTTAAGACTCTGAATGGTCGATGCAAGGAAAGACAGCTAAGCAAAGGGAAGAACAGAAGTGAGAAGCAAATCCACACTGCTCAGGGCAAGGGGAAAAGGATTGACTTCTCCATAAATGGGGCTGGGTCAGTTGCATGTTCATACAGAAAAAGTTACCTGGATTCTTTATAATTCCACAGAGATTACAGATCTGAACTTGAAAGATGAAACAAATTTCCAATAACCAATCACGAGAGAATATTCTACGATGTCTGATGATGCAACTATTTTTAAAAGGTATTAACAATAAAAGAAAAAACATATCAATAGTCTAAACATATTAAATTTAAGAAATTCTGGTCAAACCATTAGCCAGAAAGTGAGAAAAAATCATCACAATTGGCTCCTCCACCAAGATTTGTGTACAGAATATACAGACATCTTACAAATCAACAAGAAAGAGAGAGACAACCCATAAAGTGGAAAAAAAAGTAATTGATTTGAACTGACACTTATTAGAAAAAGACACCAAATCATCAATCCAATAAACACACAAAGTCATTCAACTTCATTAGCAGTCAGATAAATTCAAATAAAATCTCGACGATGACAGAATACTGCATCCCCACTAGAATGGTTAAAATACAATTTTAAAAACAGGAAACCTGCCAAATGTTGGTTATGTGGAGCAACTGGAAATTTCCTACACTACGGTGGTATTACAAATCAGTAGAATTATTTTGCAAAACTATTAGACTCTCTCTGCCTCGGTTGAGCACATGCATACACTGTGAGTGGACGATCGCATCCTTAGGCATATACCCAATATTCACCCAAGGCTAGAATGTTCATAGTAGCACTATTTGTAACCTTTGCAAACTGAAAATTATGTAATTGCCCTCAGGGATATAAATAAGTTGTGGTATGTTCACAAAACAAAATACTACACAGCAATGAAAAGGAACACATTACAAATGTGCACAACAATGTAGGTGAATGTCACAAACATAACTTTGTGTGAAAGAATCCAAAAGCAAAACAATGCAAAATCTACAGTGTCATTTACAGAATGTGTCAAAATAGGCAAATTAGTCAATGCTGTCAGAAGCCAAGAGAATGGCTACCCCTGAGTTGGGACTGACGATTTCAAGAGCATGCTAGCATCTTGTGGGAGTAATGTTCTGCATCTTGGCCTTGTACTGAAGTTTCACAAACTCTCTGCGAAAGTTTGTTGACTCTCAATAGCTGATATGTGCACACTTCTGCATGCATATTTTATCCTGAACCAATAAAACGCCTGAACATATCTAAGAGCCACTGACATAAATGTGTCTTGACTATTTACTCTAAGAATTCCCTAAGAATCCTTAGTGTAAATAACAAAATAAAAATAACCACATCATACTTGCAAGCTCAGGCCTTGGAATTAAATGGCTGGGTGCAAATGCAAGAAATGCAATTTACTAGATACGTGTCCTTGAATGATTCATTTGACCTGTAATTTTCCTCATATTAAATATTGAGATAAAGTATTTCCAGCTCACATGTTTACTGTGAGAACTGAACGACATAATATAATACACACAATGTCCTGGACACTAAAAAAGTCAATTAACATGAAGTTTTCCAGCTATCGATTTCTCATAGTTTTAAACTGGGTGTATGTGTGTGTATATATGTATGTGTGTGTATGTTTGTGTATATATGTATGCTCGTGTATAAGTGTGTATATATGTATATGCACACAAATATACCTTTTCACTGCTCCTTTAAATGAATCATGCGGCTTTATGTACTATTTAATAACTAAAGCAGTGAACTGATGCCTTCAAGGAATAGTTTGCAAAAATTAGTGTTATTATTTATTTGATATCAATTAATATCAATTATTAAAATTGATATCAATTACTGATATTATTAATTTACACTAACTTCTATCAATCATGTACCATGTATTATGGCATGGTTATGATTTATGGCTTGAAAGTGATTCATTGAAACAACTGAAACCAGTCATCTTAAATCCACAGGGAAAAAGCAGCTTTTAAATCTACTTAAACAATCCCATTAACAACTACTGATCAGAGGAATGAATGCATTTAACAATTTTGACAGAAAAGAGGAAAACAATACGGTTTTTCATATGTGTATTTAAATATAAATTAAATATATGTTAAAATATATGAATATAGGCATACGCTTTTAAACATACATAGATATAGAGTGTGCACATACTAAGATAAACAGACACATTTGAAGGTCAGAATTTGCTAAATATTTTAGTTTTCATGCAAAAGATAACATTAACTTCTCTATCAGTGTTTCAAAATCATTATTTTCCAATAAAGGTAAACAGCGAATTGAAAAGTAATTAACAATGTCAGTTTCGAATTTTTATTCCTAAGAAAATATTTAGGGAAAAATGAACTCAGGTGGCTTTAAATTCACTTTTTAAATAGGTAAGTTTGTTTAATAAGCCTTCCATTATCCTTTGATACGCCTCTAATGGCAAGTCTAACCTGTCTTCAACTTAACATACAATGGCCACTTGTGTTTGTTATATAAAACATTATATGTGCAATATACAAACTTGCATAAAGTAATCAACTGATTCCCTAGAGAACTGTTAGTGACATGGTGCTTGCCAAAAGTGGCATCTTCTAGCACAAATCTTGTTACAAGGGACACAGAAAGACACCAGAGAACAAAAATCTCAACTGCCAGCCTGAGCAGGGCCCCGCAGTAGCATAACTTCACACCTGGATTCTCCTCCTTCGGGGTCCCAACACTGCAGTCACTCAGGACTCTGATATACCTGGGTGTGGAATTGCACACATACACATGGAAACATCGGTGAGAAGTCATTTGTTCTGATTTGGTTAAACAAAAAGACGTTACTTAATGTTGACCAATAAATTCTGGATATTCTTCTCTTTTAAATTATAATTTTAGTACTAACTCAACTGAGAAAATGTCCATGATTGGCCTTAACTTGTATAAAACCTGTGAGTAAATAATGATTCTAATCCCAATAGTATTCACCTCTATTGTGTACCTTTTGGTACGCTACGCAAGGAGAATCTCTACTTCGTCGTCAGTCTGTGTATGAAAATGCCAAGGCTGAGAATTTTGCTACCATAAAAATTATAACTTTTATATTAAAGGCCTTCTAAATATATATATATATATATTCATATATATATATACACACACACACACATTCAGAAGGCATCATTCATATATATATATATGCACCTATCAAATGAGTAAGCTCTGAAATAAATGTACCTAGTTTCTAATGGACCTAGTGTCTATGATTCTACCATGCTTATAAAGCAAGTAGCTTCTCATATACATGCTTATCAGATACATTTGTCGAAACTGTGTACCTCATTAACAAGATCCCATCTCGTGACTGTATCAGCGTTGAGTTTATTAAGAGACATTCACAGATCAGAAAAGTGGAAGATCCCTTATGGGAGACTATTTATTAGTGTTCACAGAAAATCCTGAAAAGCCTCTAGCATCAGACAGGTGTGAGTTATAGAATCAATCTGACCTTTTCAGGGGTTTGTCAGTATTTATTGGCACACTTAGTGACATTTATATTGTTAAACGGTTAAACGAAAATATAAAAGCTTGAAGCTGCCAATGGAGTAGTTATGAGGACAATATCCCATCACAGGATGCTATCAATTATTTGAAAAAAGCTGAAGTACAAATTTCTGCTTTTCTCAGAGATGAAAATAAACTCTCGAAAAATGTCTCTAGATGGTCTGTTGTCTCAGAATACTAGGGAAAAAAGAACTGTTGCTCCACCTAGTAATGAAATTAGGCAGTCATCATCCAACATCAGAATCGGCTATGATGAGCGTCTGCTCCTTTCATTTCTTGCTTTCTGTTCTCTATTCCCCCTCATTATTCTCTCCATCTTTCTCAAGCTCACAGAAATGCACGTGTGAGCTCATGAAATTTCAGGCACTCAGGAATATCAGCCCCTTCTCCATCTCACAAACAAACTGGAGTCAAGTTTATTTATGACAGAAAGCTGACTTTCTTAAACAATCAGTTCTAGAATAAAAATGTGTCTGACCTGGCAAACGTCTCTGTGAACAAAACAATTTGCTCTTTTGCTAAATTTTTCTAAATAGGAGTAAAGTTTGTTGTTAATCTGTGAATAAATATAAATTGTTAAAAGTTGATAAGTTATGGGCATAAATCACAACAAAGCAATATTGATTCAAATTATATATATATGTGTACATATATATGTGTACATATATATACATACATATATATATATACAGACACATTTATTATTATTTTTTTGAGACAGACTCTTGCTCTGTCGCCTATGCTGGAGCACAGTGCTGCGATCTCAGCTCACTGCAACCTCTGTCTCTCTGTTTCAAGCAATCTCCTACCTCAGCCTCTTGAGTAGGTGGGATTACAGGTGTCCACCACCATGCCCAGCTAATTTCTGTATTTTAGTAGAGATGGGGTTTCACCATGTTGGCCTGGCTGGTCTCAAACTCCTGACCTCAAGTAATCCGACTGCCTCAGCCTCTCAAAGTGCTGGGATTACAGGCGTGGGCCACTGTGCCAGGCCCATTATATATTTTTTAAACAAACTGTGGTGGCAAATTGGTTGTGTGCTAGTTGTGGTAGCAGTGATTTAGAATGTAATCGATTTAACATATTCTTTACAAGGCCAGATAATAAATATTTTGGTTTTGTCAGCCATACGGTCTCTGTCACACTACCCAGCAGTGCTGCTGAAGTTTGAAAGCAGGCCATGGACAGCACTTTAATGACGAAGCGTGGCTGTGTTGCAGGAAAAGTTTATTTTCCAAAGTCCCTGGAGTCAGATTTGGCCCATAGGCTGCAGTTTGCTGAGTAGTGAGATGTATCTTCTAACAACAGCTACTGATGATTCAAAACCTACTACATGTTAGACACTTATGGAAGTCTTAATCTAGTGCCTCTAAGATGGCTGTCATCAGCCCTATTCTCTGCAGGACACAGACTTAGGGACAGATATACTGCCAAAGATTACAGAAGGAAGGAGGGTAGAATAGAGATTTGAACACAGATCTAATTCAAAACTTTCTGCCCTCAATGGCTACACTATACTGGCTCTCGCATGGTAATGATTCACTGAGCATAAACACAGCCAATCATCAGGGGACTCAGGTCATTTTTCAGTGAAATGCATGTCTTCAGATAAATGCATTATGAACACTTAGAGAAGCATTGATCACCTGGTACCACATGGACTTCAGTGACCTTTCAAACTCTGCCTCACACATTTTCCCACCTACACATCAAGACACAATCCCACTCTAGCTGAGCTCTGAAAAGTAGAGGGTGGGACTTCTACCAAAACTCTATTGTGTGGGTGAGGATGATGGCATGCGTAGAGGGTATTCCAGCTGCTGAAGTGTTCAAGCGCCCAGAGGCAATCAGCGTCAACAAGGAACATCTTAGCCATGAGAAGGACATCAATGTTCTTGCACAGCAGTGGTGACACAACCACCTGGGAGGCCCACGGTACATCCTCCCCCCATCGCCAGGTGATAGTTTCTGAGACGTTTTCAGGATAGCAATAAAAGCAAGATAAATCAACAGCTCTTTCCAGATGTATCCAAGAACAAGTTACCTTCTACTCTGTCTGAAATGTATGGACAAATTATAGACCCTATCCATGAAAGTGGGGCTAATTTTGTTCTAGGCGTCCAGTTCTCACCTCTGGCTGAACATTAGAGTTGCCTGTTTTTGTAAACATGAATGTCCAGACCTTAATCTCAACCAATTAAATTAGAATTCCTGTAGAGCAAGGCCAAGGAAATTATGTTTTAAAGCTCCCCAGGTAATTCTAATATAAATAGAGAGTTGAGAACACTGTTCCACACCTAGAGTTAAGAGACAATACCTATGTATCTGAGTTACACAGAGGTCACAGGTTTGGAAGGAAATAGCTTTGATCTGTGGATAGAAAAAACTCAGATTACTGTAATATCTCCCTAAATGAACTGAGTGTGTGGTATCAGAAAAGGCATTTTGCCTCTGTCTGCCTCCGTTTGTTCATCTGTGCAAGGAAGAAACTAAATATTCGAAGTCTTATTCATGCTTTTATGTAGAGTGAACAAAATAATGAAAACTCAGTTGACATCAATTACAATCAGGAAAAGAATACTTTCAATAGCAATACTTAAGAAAACAGAGAAAACAAGCTTGTCAGGATTCTTATCTGGTTATTAAAGGAGTCCAACTTCTGGCAGAGAAATTAATTAAACGTACAAAAGATATTGGAAAATACTGTACAGTTATCACTTTTCTGCAATATCATTAATTAAAAACCAACGCTCCTTTGCCTAAGTGGGATAACATGGATAACTAACATCATTTGTATGCAATGTTCGTCATCCCATAAAAATTATAACATACCTGACCTAAAAACTTCAAATCAAAACCTAGACATAAAGTTAGAGGAATAAGCAAAATGTGATGATCTGCTAAATACACCCAAATGCCAAACCCTTGTTAACATAAGCTTGACACTTTGATCTTCAAGGCAAGCATTTGTATCCAAAGTCAAAGGATGGTGATTACTCAGTCAGATGAGCTCTAAACAAGCTTCATAGAGAAGCCTATTTCATTCTATACGGAAACCTTTTTTTACCTTAATGCAAGGTTCATGTGCAAATGCATAATTAAAAAGAAGCGCCATTTAGGAGATGATTATCATTAGCTCAAATGAAACACAAAGCGCTTTGCTGGCTCCCCCATCTGACCTTGTCATGCCTCTTGTATCAAGTACCAGCTGGAGAAAGCTGAGCTAATAATGGCCCAGCTGCATAATCTAACAAGATCTTTGTCATACAAGCAAGGTCAAGTGCTCTATCATGTTGAGATTAATCTCATTGTGCACTGAGAGAGAAAGAGGCTGCCGGGACAGAGATGGTGCTGCTGGCTGAAGACCTTATTGAGTCCCAGTCTCTGGGACAACAAACCGACCTTCCAAATGGTCCTTCCATTTGGGTCCTTCCAAATAGCCCTTCTAAAATGAGCTAAGAAAGGTACTATTCTAGAAAATGATGCCCTCTGTCTATAAATGTATTCTATTTCTGTGACTTCAATATCAATGATGATTTTCGTCATATAATTAAAAGCATATCTTTATACCATTTAGGTTTATGTGAAGATTTTATTAATTGTATTATATTTAAAGAAACTTTATCCTTTATGACCAAAAGTACTTACAAACTCATTCAATTACCATAATTGCCATTTCATACAATTCTTAAAAGGAGCTTAATATGTTAACTATCTTTTTTCTGCTGGTGACCAATTCATTGGTTGCTGCAAGTTAGAAGTTTTACTCCCAATGATTCAGATGAAAAATCAGTGTTTAGAAAACAAAATGAAGTGTGACGATGCAAGATTCGAACAAGACTAACTTAGCAGCAGCAATAATAATTAATCAAATTTAATAATGATAAATTAAAGAGAGATTTCTTAAATGTTTTTCTAGAAA
This sequence comes from Homo sapiens, assembly GCF_000001405.40. Lineage (NCBI taxonomy): Eukaryota > Metazoa > Chordata > Mammalia > Primates > Hominidae > Homo > Homo sapiens. The sequence continues at coordinate 3,889,277 of NC_000008.11, forward strand.
GCCATTGCCTTTTTTTTCAGAGGTTAAAAGGAAAAGAAGAAGAGACGATAATCTGCCATGTCTTATGGTACTAAAACAAATTTTGCTTGTATTTTTTAAAATTTTAATATTTTTTACTAACATTAAATAATGCCTTCCACATTGTAGTCATTAGTTGATATGCTTCTGATCTTTCCATATATATATATATATATATATATATATATATATATATATAAAATATGCTCATTAGGTCATGATATATACATATATATACATACACACATATGTGTATATGTGTGTCTGTGTGTGTGTATGTGTATGTATACATATATGCTCATTAGGTCATAAGTTCACTCAGCTGACAGTGTGAAGAGGAAATCAAGATACTGGAAGTTGGTCCTATCTACTGTCTATCTGCAAAATGAAACTCAACCTGGACTTCCTATAAATTGAGCTATGGATTTTGTGAAACAGACTTATTATGTATAGTATCACCTTAAGCATATGAAAGACATAGAGAATTATATAGGTATCCCATACTCTTCTGTTGCAAATTCTTTATTTCTCTTTTGACTATTTTGTATTCATGAAATAAAATATTACCAAAGGTCAAAGGCACTGAAATATCAAAATTACTTTCTGAGTTGCGCATAATGCCACATGCCCGTAGTCTCAGACGGTTGGATGGCTGAGGTGGGAGGATTGCTTGAACCCAGGAGCTCGAGACAACCCTGGGAATATAGGGAGATCCCTTCTCAAAAAATATAAACATTTTTTTAAAAAAGTTTCTGAATCCCAATTTATCATTGCATTTGTGTGTTTTTATTTTAGGACAAATGAGATAATCTGATAATATAACTTTGATAGTTTATTATTGGGTGTATGGACTAGTGCTTCTTTTGTAGCATTTTGATAACTAAAGTATCATATTCCCTAAGAAGAATACAATTTTACTTTTAATAAAAGATAAGAAATATTCTTGTTGTTCAAACTTGCAAAGAAACATCAGATATTTTGCTGGGTTTTGATTTACTTGAAAAATATTAATATTAATGGAGAATTGCACACTTGAATTCAACAGGCACTGGGCAGGGTTTACTACTTGGTAGGTATTTTAATAGACTGTGGAAAACAAAGACAAAGGGGACATCAGACGCCACCTGAACAAGCTCGCAGTGTCTTGGAGGAGACTGAGGATTCCAGCTGAGTGAGGGAAGTTTTGAAAATGAAGGAAGGCATTGAGGCACACTTGCAGGACTCGGTGGGGAACAAAATAACTCTATCTCTCAAAGGACAAAATAATAGGTAACACATAAGGTTTTTATGCCGATTTCAGGAAATAAAGCACGTGGCATATTTTTCCGATTTCAGAGAAATGGAGCATATTTCTAGTCCCCAAATTTAATAAAACCGATTACTCCAAATGAGTCCTGCCCCAGAAAACATTTAAAGGAAGATATTGGGAGCATGATGCAAGTTAGCATGTGGCTCTGTTGTCTGTGCTAATGTTTGAGCAAATTTTTGTCCTCAGACATTTCCAGGGACTAAAATATAGTAATATCTGTTTAAATAAAATGCTCATACTCAGTAAGTATATACAATGAGAGGATGAAAGAGCAAGATTTCTTGAGTGTGCTAGCTACTCTCTCATAGGACTATGTGCTAGCTACTCTCTCATACGACTCTCATACGACTCTCTCAATAACCTGTGAAATGGATGTTATGGACATTTTATAGCTAAGGAAAATGAAGGCCGTGAAATAATTGAGCAGCTTTTTTGTTTTTTTTTTGTTTTATTTTATTATTTTGAGACAGGATCTCACTCTGTCATCCAGGCTGGAGTGTAGTGTTGTGATCTTGGCTCATTACAACCTCCACCTCTTGGGCTTAAGTGATCCTCCCTCAGCCTCCCAAGAAGCTGGGACCACAGGCATGTGCCATCATGCCTGGCTAATATTTGTATTTTTCTTTGTAAAGATGGGTTTTTGCCATGTTTCCCAGGCTAGTCTCAAAAATTCCTTGCTCAAGTGATCTACCTGCCTCAACCTCCCAAAGTGCTGGGATTACAGGCGTGAGCCACCGCGCCTATCCTGAGCAGGTTCTTGAAATTAGGTCAATTCAATTCCAAAATCCATCCGAGGCCAGGTATGGTGGCTCACGCCTACAAACCCAGAACTTTGGGAGGCCAAGGTGGCAGAATTTCCTGTATACAGGAGTTTGAGACCACCCTGGACAACATAACAAGACCCCATGCCTAATCACACACACACAAAAAAAAGCCAATAGTGGGGGTGTACACCTGTAGTCTCAACTAGTTGGGAGGCTGAGATGCGAGGATTGTTTGAGCCCAGGAGGTCCAGGCTTCAGTGAGCTGTGATCACACCACTGCACTAGAGCCTAGGTGACAAAGCAAGACCTTGTCTCAAAACGAAAAAAAAAGGATTAACTCAGTCTCCTAACACTAGTCTCCCAGGCAGTATAACACTGACTGGAGACTGAATCTCTGCTTCATAACGTCATTACTATGTGATTTAGGCACATCAATTATTTCTACAAGCCTAATTCTCTCATCTGTAATGGTAATCCATTAAAGCTTGCCCAAAAAAAGGCTAGTTACTGACACGTTTATTATGTCCACATGATTTACAAAATTATCAGAACACCAAACTCTTAAGAGCAAAATGAACATTTTCCAGCGTCCAAAAGCACAGCATCGGCTACTTCAATATTAGCACACGATACTATCACCAACATGATAGTCGCAAACAAAAAAAAAAAAAATTAAGGAAAGTCACATTTGGGTAAGGTTCATTGTGTGTGTGCTTTTCAAAGTTTCCTATTCAGGCAGGACAGATACATAAGCTCTAAGATAATATCAGTAAAGTGAAAGGTAACAGCCCCAAATATATGAGGCATTTAGCCTGCTTCCAATGTGTAGCCCTATTTTACAAGGTTAAATTAAAGTGCTGAGGTCAAGCATTTACTCAGATACCTGAACATTCAATAATCCAGCACAAAGAACAACTACACATCACTCAACGCTTAATTGCTGAAAAGGGAAACTGTCTTCAGCCTATGTCTTCAAGAAGACGTGTGGGGAACGTATTATGCTTTCTATGTGTTATCCTTTACCTACACAGATCATCAAGGAGAACTTCCCCAAAGCTTGTGAAGTGACAGGCTTCATAGCCCCTCATTCATTCAGGCCCCAACTAAGTTCTGCAAGAGGATCTAAGAGACCGTGCATCCAATCCTATGTTAGAGGAATTTTGCAAAAATAATAATAATAATAATAATAATAAGATTACTCTAAGTAAAACCAGTTAAATCTGTTCTCTCCCCACTCCTACTTTCACTCTGGTGCACGTCAGTACTGTTGCTTGGCACGTCGTGGGATTTTTGGAGACTGGGTTCAAGGTGAATTAAGTAGGCACTTATTTGAGTACATTTAGGCAGGTTTTTTTTTTTTTTTTTTTTGCCACTTCTGTGCATTATGAAGTTATTGCTAGCCATCGTAGGACAATTTGGACAGTCTTCTACGTGAACTCAGGTGAGCCATGACGCCCAAGTGCAGGTTCTGAGAATGTGTTCCACGGGCCAGACACAGAGCAGGTGAGTGGAGAGGATGGCAAGCGTTGATGTGGACAGAGCAAGAGGCCTCTCTGTGAAATTAACTTGAAGGAAGTTTTCTCAAGTCTGACCACAGTGATAAAAAAAAAATATGACATAACAATCATGGTTCAGTTTTCACACTGAAAATAACTTGTCAATAATAGTGATATGGATTAAACAAGTTTGACCAAGTATGCTGGAGAAATGCTGGAATTAGCTTTCTATTATCTCTGCAAAAAACATGACAAAATCATCCTCACACAAAAAGGTAATCAAAGAGTCTTTAGCCAAAGCTGCAGTGAAAAAACATGTTCCCAGGGCACGTCAGAAATAAAGTGACTAGAAACCTCTTAAAACACATTTTTTCTTCTTCTTATATTTGTAATATTTTAGCCTATAAAACAAGTAATTTGTGATTTCTTATTGTAAAGAAAAATTTTATGTCCCAAACTAATAATATTCACAATTTTATATATATATATATATATATATTATTTTTTTTCTTAGAGGGTCATCAAAATTGTATGACCTTGAAGCTTAACAAAATCTGGATCAACTCCTGAAACCAATGAGGACAGTATGATAGCTTTTGCAAAGGATAAAGCAAAAGCAAAACCAGAACATTTATTACAATTTTTGTTTTACAAATTAAATTTATAAATATTATGAAACCAAAGGCAAACGCCACTGCTCTACTTCCTCTGCACCTGTCTAGCTCCAGTCCCATCTCCACCATTAGAATCTACTTACTGTGCATGGTGTCTTGCTCTCAGTTAGGAGAGGTAGTCAAGGAAATGGGCATGTCCTCAAAACACAACAACCGCAGCAACCGTGGTAACAATACAGCCATCACAATAAGCATTAACATTCGCTTTGTAATTGAGCTCATTCAAGAAAGCTATCTTCAGTAAGGAATTTCCCCTATAGAGAGCATGCACACTTTGATTTTACCTGTTGCCAGACTGACCCTTTGTTCATTAAAATAGTAAAAAACACACCCCTGGTTGGAGATTTAAGATGTTAATGAGACATGCAATTCATGAGCAAGCATGTACAGTTACCGCACGTGTGCACCCAGAGGACCACCCAGAACTTGCTTACTGGCAACACCTCTTCCCATCTCCTTATGAATAATAATGTAAAACTCCCATAAAGGGAGTCTCCATAGTGCTGGTCATTGCTGCCACATCCTCACAAGCAGCAAGCCGTTAATTGTCTCTTTCACGGTGTTCCGTCTATTCTGCACCTCACTTAAAAATATTCTTTTTCCTTTGCAAAAACTACTCTATGCTACACTTCTTTTGCTGTGTGTCTTTTGTTTGAATTGTTCTAAACCCAGAAGACAAGAACGCAGGTATCACAACAGCTGTCAACATCTGCAGTCCCATCTCCACACTGTAATCTACTTCCTGTGCACCTGTCTCGCTCCAGTCTCATCTTCACCACTGAAAGCTTTGCTCTGGATTTTTTCTATCACGAGGATTAAATGGGTGTTGCAACTCAAGGGGAGACACATCCTTCATGGCTTAGACATTTCCAAAGACCAGCATAATTTTACGTTTTTTCAAGTAAAAGAAAATAATCTTGAATTATCTTGAGACCTCAAATATAGAACTACAAGTAGTTTTAACATTTGCCAAATTAAAAAAAAATAATCCTATGATAGATTCCTCAAAAGTGTACCTAAAATAGATTTCTACATCCTATTGATTTGTTGTCTGTATGGGGCTATTTACAGAAAATAAATGCTCAGTGCTAAGGCTAAACAAGACTTCACTATTAACCTAACAAGAGAGTCTAATTGAAAAGTTCATTGATCCTTTTTCCTGCCTCCAACTATATGAATTAGTTTCTTGATTAACTAGAATTACTAAGGAAGTGTCTCTGCTTCCACATGTCAATTAGAAGTGCATAGGGCTGTTAAATATTTAGGTGCTCTAATTCAAATTCACTGACAAGGGTTTGCTCTGGCTCTATTCTAAAGGAACATTATTTTCACACCTGTCTTATAAATCCTATAAAATTACAGTGGGTTCCTAGTATTCAACACTGTACCATACAGATGACAATTTCCAATATGATGAATAGGGTAATTAGAAGAGTCAATCATGAATCTCCCATTTGGTATGAAAGCAGCTTAGTGGAGGCCATTTGTGAGGTATTTATTATTTGAATGGTATAGGTGGAGTACAGCCAGTGGTCATTATAATTAAACATTCAAGGACTTCTTAACATATTGATTAAATGTGATTCATGAATCACCTAGACATTGGCTTTATCTCCAAATCACTAATTCAGAGACACCAACAAAGTTTCCTGTTACTAAGAAAATGGATTTAATTAAAATAATTAGTGTTTAAAATGATCACTGTGCTTACAACAACAAAGAGATGGTCTACTGCTTTCTATTTAAATTATGTAAAGTAAACCTATCTATGTTTATTAACATAGATTTATGTTTGGAGTTACAACTGAGACAATTTATAACACAAGGGAAATATTTTATATATTAAATGAAATACTGTGTGATTGTGGGTTTCTGTGGCCCTATTAACACAACAGTGTCAATCCACAATGTTTAAATCTTAGCAGACAAAAAAGAAAAAATCAATATTATTAGGCCTATTATCAATTTAAGTGTATCTATCCTTAGGGAATAAATATGATCCTAAAAGGATATAAGCACATGAAATAAGCATATATGGATTTACCTTTCTAATGCCCATATATGTACCATTTAGTAAAGTCTCAAAAAGGGAAGAATCCTATCCTAAATAATTACTATATTTGAGACACACATATTTATAATCCAAGTATTTGTATTTAGTTCCTAACTTGTCAATTTATTTGCTTGTTCTTTCACTTATTTATTCATTCCTAATTCAGTCATTTAAGAAATATTTCCTACGGTCATAACTCTTCACACTCCAGTTGTACCTGCAGTGTGAGCCACAGCTCTGACCTGGCTTGTTCCCTTCCAGACAAGTCGGATGGGAATAGTCAGGTTAACCTCATCCCCTGAAACTCTGTATGCACACTCAGGTGGGAGAGGCACCAACCAATAGGCACTTTAGGTCCCACTTGTAAAAGATAGTCCTGTTAACCTCCCCTATTACTGTAAATCATTCAGTGCAGTGTGGTTTCTTCCAGAAAAAGAAAGGAAGAAATGACTGCGGAGCGCTGGACTCATGTAGCTGCTGATTTCCATTTACACCTCTGATGGTAACTTCCTGATGGGCCCATTCTTGGGGCTTGAGTAACAAGCCCAATTTGATTCAGTCAATGTAATGATTAAGACACAACAAAAACATGATCTAGAGCCCTGTGACAAACATCTTCCAATTCTATAGCCTGGTTGCTGTCACCAAAATTTCTCAAAACAGTCCTTCCAGAACTTGTATCTGTCTATGAGTGACATCGCCTTGGGAAAAATGCATAAATGTATTTCCAGATTTCCATATACTCACTTTGCTGAATTAGCAAAACATTAAGACTAATAGTCCAAACAGATGTTAACAACAGTGATTAATCTTCACATGGAAAATGCTACATGTAATGTCTCCAAAACGTTGAACACTTGGGAGAGAAAGTAAATTCAATAAAAGGCTACCAAATAAGGTCTTGAATATTATTACTATTATTATTATTATTATTATTTTGAGACAGAGTCTCGCTCTGTCACCCAGGCTGGAGTGCAGTGGCGTGATCTCGGCTCACCGCAAGCTCTGCCTCCCAGGTTCACGCCATTCTCCTGCCTCAGCCTCCCGAGTAGCTGGGACTACAGGCGCCCGCCACCACACTGGCTAATTTTTCTTATTTTTATTGGAGACGGGATTTCACCACATTAGCCAGGATGGTCTCGATCCTGAATATGTTTTTTTTAATTAAGAAATATACGTAAACAGCAAGTATATTGTCTGAGAGTCTGAATTGATGGTCTGATTGTGACATCAAGTTTGAACCAAAAATAAATGTCAGGAAAAAAATTTTAAAAAGCGCTTGTCTATCACCTAATTCTATTTGATGTTTGGTTCTCCAATAACAACCTCTATCTCACAAATCATGTCATCAATACCCCTAATGAAATCTGCTTAACATGACATCCTAGATAGCAATTCTAGTTTTCCATTTCTCTTGAGCAACTTACTTGCTCCCTGGATCTAATTTTTGTCTTTTATTAAGGGAAATTATTGTACTGGAAGTTTCCGAATGTTCCTTTCAATACTGGATGTATTCATGACAGCACTGAAATCACAGAGACCCAGTGTTTTTAAAACAGGAGTCTGAATTTCAACGAGACAAGGGTTAGTAGCACAATGGTGTCAAGAAGTTATCAAAACAAAGGAGTGAGATGACACAGCCTACCCTTTCTACAGAGACAACGGTCATAGTGTGACTAGCAATTTTAATTATCTACACTTAAGAGCTGTGTGCAGGAGCAGTCAAATACTTGGGTCAGGTTTCTCTTATAAGCAGTGTGCTCTAACAGTGATTCCTACATTTGAATACGTGTGGGCCAATTATAAAACAAAATGTTTCTCAAAGACCTGTTATTAACTTTTAATTCAATTTATGATCTTAAAGTCATGCATATATAAACTAAATTTTTATTTATGATCTTAAAGTCATGCATAAACTTGGAATGCTTAAAGCCTGTGTACACTATAAGTTATATAAATAAATGCATACAAAACTACCTCAGTAAAAAAAAAAAGGCTATGCATTTTAAGTAACCCTAAACTGCAACTCAAAATGGACTGCTGTAACACAAATTATCACCATAATCGTTAATAATAGAATTATTATTATCAACTTCCTTTATCATGCCCATAATCCCGTGAGGAAGCCCTATTAAAGTTACTGCAAAAGCCTCCTCCATGAAACATTCTGTGATATCATTTGCTTTCCTTTGGCCCAGATGGGCTATTTGCTTCGTAAGTTCATCTCCATCTTTTTTCTCATTAGCCTGAGGATATTAAAGTGCTGCTTCTTATAGCCTATGGAATCTTGGCCACAGAACAAGTAAGGTGGCCATGTGGATGATACAGTGTATGTTTAGATATAGTTATATAATCACCAAATGAAGACACAAAATCAAAATCTAGTCACGGAGAACTGGAGAGCTCCTAGGAGGTGCCCAGATCCCCAGTTTGACAATGCTATTCTTACCACCTAAATTATGTACTTACAAACAAGGTATGGAGGGAAATATATTACAATCGCCCTGACACCCAATTTCTCACCATATAGCAGAGTTTCTACCAGCTGAGTCAAAGTGGAGTCAACTATAAGCCATCAATCCCTGCAAGCCATCCAGCAACAAGCTTATGAGTATGGAAAATTCCCCTACATATTGAGAAAATAAAAATAGCTCAGATAAAACTACTGCAAGAAGCATGAATACAACCAAAAAAAACCCAACATTTGAACAATTCAAGGACAACTACTCTGATGTTATGTGAGCTATGTGTGTAGTAAACTCTCTGTTATATGGCATGATCTGTTATGGGGAGAAAGAAAAGTTACTAATCAAGTGCCATTATAAAGTGTTAAAGTTTGTGTGACATGTCATCAAGTAAGTTGAATAATATTATGGATGTCGCATCATAATTGTACAAAACCTACTGTTCCAGAGAATACCTGAGAGTCTGTCATATCTTTGGGTTGTCACAATAAACATAAATCTATCCTGTAATGGAATATGAAGATAGAAAAAAGATTTGCCTGGGGGCTGAATGTTTACTAAATCAAAGGTGCACCTATCACTCATTTTGAATCCACATGCAGACCTGGTATTTGTTGGTTTGTTTCTCATTCAGAGTTCAGAATGGACAGGTGTAGGAATTCCTGAGCAGAAAATCCTACTTTTCTGCTATTGAACCACTGTATATATATTTGAGGAAGACCTTCTCTAAAACATTAACATCTTCCCTAAATTTAATTAATAAATCATCAATTATTTATTGATTTCTCAGGACATAGCTGATAGCCCCAATACTCTGTTGGTCCCCTTAGGGGTTACAGTCATTTTAAACTGTAGTGACTCTATTCAAGAACCTCTGCCCTCAAAAATTTTATGGGAAAAATAAAAAACAAATGGGACCATACAGTACATATTTCAGTGCTAAAATATGTGCTAGAAGCCACAAAGGTCGTACGCGTCCAGGAAAAGAAAACAATTGAGGTCAATAAAATGAGGAATAAATAGAGAAGGGTTCATCTCTAGTTTTAATGCATAAGTACTGACTGGCGCCATGTTAGGTAACAAGGACACAAAGATTGCCAGTACTGTCAAAGGTGCTTACGGCCTAGGACAGGAGGCCAATCAACAATGAACACAGGACGGACAAGAGCACAGGAAAGTTGGCACCAGTGTGGGCAGCCAAGGGAAAGGAGCTCCCCGCCCTGCTAAGAAATGGCACTTTCAAGTACGCTTTGCAAAAGAGGTGCTACTTCAGAGCAGGTGTGAGTTTGCTGGACAGATTCTCCGCCCTGGCACAAAGAGTGACTGAACATGACCCATATGGGTATGCTGATTACTTCAACATGTTGGCCACAGGGATTGTACGTGGGGAGATGGGGTGGTATTGATCCAACCGCAGAGGTGGGTAGAAACTAGACCTGGAAGGACCCTCATTTTGGATGCTGTCATAAGGAAGTGGAAAAACATCTAAGGACATTAAAAAGAAGGTTGTTGTTGTAAAATTTCTGTTTCTCAAGGATCAATATAGCTCCAACATAAGTATGTAGTGAGAGGAAAAGGTTTTGGAGGCTGAGAAACTAGACAAGAAGGTGGCTTTTGTTATAATCTGGGCTAAATATGACAAATAACTGAGCAACTGTCCTGGTAGGCTGGCTGAGGTTAGCAGTTGGAAGGGCTGTATGACCAGCTTTCAGGGCACAGTTTTGACCTGACTGGAAGGTGACAGTGGATAGCACCCTTCAGTATGACCCTACCACAGGTACTGTGTCCTGAAAATGTCCATTTCTTCAGTTCCTTTACTCCAAACCCTGAGCTTAAGAACTTGCTTAAAACATGTCTTTAATGTGTAAAATATTTATAACTTAATTCCCATGGGAAGGGTAGTTGCTCTCCACTGGGCTTGTTGAGCTGCAGCTACAGCTGGTTGACAATGCAGCTGGGTGACACTAGCTAGGTGACACTGCAGCTGGCCGATGCTGTAGCTGGGTAACACTAGCTGGGTGACAGTGCAGCTGTGTGATGGTGCAGCTGGTTGGCACTGTAGCTGGGTGACACTGCAGCTGGGTGACAGTGCAGCTAGATGACACCACAGCTGGGTGACAGTGTAGCTGGGTAACAGTGCAGCTGGGTGACAGTGGAGCTGGGTGACAGTGTTAACAGTGGAGCTGGGTAACAGGGCAGCTGGGTGACAGCACAGCTGCGTGACAGTGCAGCTGCGTGACACTGTAGCTGGGTGACAGTGCAGCTGGATGACACTACAGCTGGGTGACAGTGTAGCTGGTTGACAGCACAGCTGTGTGACAGTGCAGCTGGGTGACAGTATAGGTGGGTGACAGGGCAGCTGGGTGACAGTGTAGCTGGGTGACAGCACAGCTGCATAACAGTGCAGCTGGGTGACACTGTACCTGGTTGACAGTGTAGCTGGGTGACAGTAGAGCTGGATGACACTACAGCTGGGTGACAGTGAAGCTAGGTGACAGTGCAGATGGGTGATACTGTAGCTGGATGACACTCTAGCTGGGTGACAGTGTAGCTGGGTGACACTAAGTTGGGTAACAGTGCAGCTAGATGACACTGTAGCTGAGTGACAGTGTAGCTAGGTGACAGTGTAGCTTGGTGGCCCTGAAGCTGGATGACTGTGTAGCTGGGTGACACTATAGCTAGCTGCCACCGCAACTGGGTGACAGTACAGCTGGGTGACACTGTAGCTGGGTGACACAGCAGCTGGTTGACACTGCAGCCTTCTGTTCCAGAGCTTGCTCTTCTCATTTCCGAGCATTACTTTTTCAGCCAGCTGCATGCCGTGCTCAGGCGTTTGCTTGATCTGAGTCCTCGTGCATCCAAACACTATGGATTATTAAATACAAGAAGGTCTATAAAGGACAGAACAGAGCCTGAAACTTTATGATTTTTCATTATTGCTAGCTGTCATAGTGTTATCATTATTGACATTACTTTGGTAATAAGATGGCTTTTAATAACGATTTTGTAGTAAAGAAATAATTTATAACCTGGAGTCCAAGGTTAATGTGTGTATACTTTTGGGGGAGGGTCATGAATGTACTGATAACCGTGGAGAAATAGTATATCCTCAGCATGCAAAAGCAGAGAATTTATTGATCATTCTTCCTGGCCAATAGTATTTTTATTTCAAATGCTTAGTAATGTTCTTTTCCAGTTGTACTGAGGTTTCTTTGATTTTTCCACTTTTTCCCTTTTTCTTTCTGCATCAGTGACACTCTTGCTAGCTTCAACCCAATCTCCAATTTAATTTTTTTCAAAGTGTGTTGATTGGAAGTGAAGATGGGCATATTTCAGTAAACCTTCATCTTCCCTGAAATCCGTGCTGATGCATTTTTTGGTCTTACTCTAATGACTTCAAATTATTTTCCACTTGATAGATCTCACACATGCATTGTCAGTTCTGAACCAAGGGAGCCACGCTTTGGAACATGTACACCAACCTGCCGATCACGTTTGCTCATAAAGTAGAGTCCTCATTCGGAGAGCCTTGGGGCTCAGATCTTTTGATAGTTTCTCTGAAAACCACCGAAGTAAAACAGTATCTGGCTCCTCCAATTTATGTTCACAGAATGTACTTCTGTTTAACAACTTTATTAGATTTTGAAATGGCAAAGAATGGAACAACTGTCTTTATGTAGGCTTAACGCTTTTCGATGTGACAAGCCAACATAATTTCTGGCGTCAAAGTGTGGTTTATTAAGCTCTTGGGGTGTTCACAAGTATTCTTTGTTTGCATCCTGATATTACCATGGTTTTATTATACTGTACTCTTCTCTAGTGCTTTTCCCATTAGATCATTTTAGATCTCATGCCATGATGTGTGACTATGAACAAGAGGACCAGACATGTATTTCAGTGCTTAGTATTGGCTTTAAATGGCTGTTTCTCTTATTCTTTCCCTCCTTTTCCTCTTACTCTATTCCATTTATTATACGTTGTTCTTCTTTTGCAATGATTTGTACAGATTGTTGCCAGATTCCTATTTGTCTTGAAAACCAGCCTGAACACATTGCTAAGCCTTAATATGACAGAAGTAACACAACAATCTTCAAGCACTGTAGCAACATTGCTACTAATAAAATGGAGAATCTCACTTCTGATACTTCAGCATTTTCTATGATTTTCAGCCCATTGACCACCTCCCAACCCACATTCTAGGGTCCATTGATTAAGTCATGCCCTCACCCATTACTGTCAAATCCTGTTACTCCAACTATTACCCAGTAAGGAGTTTTTTGTTTCAAATCTTGGCTTTTCTGTTTACAAAAACATGTGATCTGAGGCAAATTGTTGGATCTTCCTAAGGCAGCAGTCCCCATCTTTTTTGCTACCAGGGACCAATTTCATGAAAGACATTTTTTTTTCCATGGACTCAAGTGGCAGGGGATAGTTTGGGATGAAACTTCCACCTGAGATCATCAGCCATTAGATTCTCACAAGGAGCTCACAACCTACATCCATTGCATGCTCAGTTCACAGTAGGGTTCACGATCCTATGAAAATCTAATGTCGCCGCCGATCTGAGAGGAGGCAGAGCTCAGGGGTAATTCTTGCTCATTGCCACTCATCTCCTGCTGGGCATCCTGGTTCTTAACAGGCTGTGGACTGGTACCAGTCCATGGCCCCGGGATTAGAGACCCCTGCTGAGGTACACATTTCTTTGTATCAAATAGAGTAGAGCTGTCTACTTTGCAACATTTTATGAGAATTAAATTACATAATGCACTGACTGGCCCATCTTGGATACTGAATAAATAGTAGCTACATCCAACTTTCCTTCCATCTAACAGCCATTGATCATCCTGATCTTAACCACTTATCTCTTTCTCCAGTTTCCAGCTCTACCTCCCTGAACTCAGTAGACTCTGACCTCCTGAACATGCATTGTTTTATTCTTTCTAGTCTTACGATGAATGCACGTTTCTGTGTTATTAAAGTAGCGTGTAGCTGACCACCTGGATTGGATAACTGCCTGCTGTCTGTATTGCTGCTGCTTGTCTGCTGAGCTAGGTGGAGACCTTCTTACTGGCACTTTGGAGAAACCTGTATGAGCTCTGCATTCCATTTAGCGATTGAGTATTAAGTGTTCTTCTTACCCTTCAGTGTGACTCTGCACCAGTGGCCTCTAAAATTTACTCCTTGTCTCTGCCATGTCGGGTCAGAACTGGTTTTCTTGCCTCTGTCCCACCCATGTGTTTTTAGAATATCCAGGATGAATTAATCTGTCCAGCTAAAAAAAAAAAATGTACTCAACCTACAGGGTTCAACAAAACAATTGCACTATGTCATTATCATAAGCTTTCCAATGCCAGAGCATTAATATTAATGTGATATTAACATACACATTATGTAAAATATTACTCTCAAGAAAGTCTAAAGTGGTATTATCGACAGCAGAGAAGTGTGCTTCTCATATACAGATACAGTAATTGCCGGCATTTTGTCCTGTTTCTGAATTTCAATGTGTAGAATATTACGGTGCCTTTTTCTTCATACTTAGTTCACTACTCTATTTGGCAACTTTGAGTAATGTGTCAGAAAATAAGGTTCTTGTTCCTTACAAATTGACCCTGGCTGTCTAATGATGTGATTACACATCAGATACAGCATCCTGAAAGAAGCCAACAGGACATCATCAACTTTCAGGTGATGGACTTTGCCACCTCCCAATTGAGTCCACATTTGAGCCTCTCGGATCAGTGTTCCATGGGTCATGTTTTCTTCGAGCTCTGAGGTCTCTTTAGTGGTCTTGTTTGTTAGGGAGTCATTGCCATATATATATATTTTTTTACCTCCACAGGACACGTGGCACACTACCATGTACCTCTTTGGTTCACTATTTGTTTCTCATTTGGATTAAACCTGGAATACCTTGTTCTGTAGTTTCTTGATTAATGTCCTACCGTCCTATCTGCCTATCTAGGTGGGTCTAATGTCACTTCCTGCAGCCCTGATTTCCTGCAGGTGTGATATCTTCAGTCAAAGATTGTACATTATTTTGTTTATGCCTAATGAAGTAATTCGGCCTTGTAATTATATTTGGATAAATATTATTTTCACTTTGCTACAATACATGTTTCTGGAGAACCGGCCTGTGTCTCATTCTGAAGTAACTTATGGATATCAGGAGCTGAGTTAGGGTAGAGACGAATAGCACCTTCCCTTACCAAACAAATCATAGGTTCTTCCTGGAGGACACCCCTTTCTTTCATCCCAACATCATCAAGCCCAGTCCTACAAATAGAAAATATGTGACAGATTCACACTAACTCTTTATTGCAATGGAAACCTCTTTATTGCAATGGACCTATGTTAGTGCTTCTCAAACTTGAGTGTGTCTAGGAATGTCCCAGAGATTTCAGTAAATGCACATTTGGCCATGGTTGTTCTACGGTGCGGCTTGGTATTCCACATTTCTAAGAAACTGACAGGTGATACCAAAGCTGTTGTATGTGAAACACACTTTGGAGAGTTGGGAATTAAATTATCTCAAATATATTTTTTATTTCCTTTTTCTCTTTCTTTCTTTCTCGTTTTCTTTCTTTTTTTTTTTTTTTGAGATGAAGTCTTACTCTGTCACCCCGGTTGGACTGCAGTGGTGCTATCTCAGCTCACAGCAACCTCGGCCTCCCGGGTTCAAGTGATTCTCATACCTCAGCCTCCCAAGTAGCTGAGATTACAGGTGTGCATCACCATGCCCAGGTAATTTTTGTATTTTTAGTAAAGATGGGGTTTTACCATGTTGACCAGGCTGGTCTCAAACTCTTGACCTCAAGTGATCCACCTGCTTCCGCCTCCCAAAGGGCTGAGATTACAGGTGTGAGCCACTGCACCCAGCCCCAAAATACGTATTTTCCTTATCTGACATTTAAGGTCAAAGAGGAAGAAGTACCAAGTTACAAATATAGAATACTCTTCAGCTAGAACTTGTACTGGTGACTGATTTTCTCTGTGGTTCCTTCTCCATAGGACCTATGTGTATCCAAATGTCTGTAGGGAAACTGAGGCAATTTTAATATTTTCCAAGAAATTCAGAGAGAATCCTTCCATTTAAAGAATGATTAATAACAGGCAAACATAGAAAAAATATGTTCATATAAAAGATAATATTTTTTCTGCATAATATAATTTTTCAAACAAAGGAATATTTAGATTATATTCTTTCATACAAGAGTTAGGGAAAATATTCACTGAATAACTTAAAGAAGGTTAGTGACAGGTACCTGATCTTAAATCCAACATAAAAGTTGATCATCTAAAAAAAGTTCTTTAGATTTTCTTAGTAACTGTAAATACTGGTAAGGCCACAATTAACCAGGCAGGTGGCGTCAAGTCACTGTGCAATGTAAGACCCCCCAACACGGGTCCAATGACGGTGACTTTCCTACGTGTGAAAGATCTCTGTGCACCTGCTACCCAGCGTTTCTCAACATTCAGCATGCATTCCCATCTCACTGGGAGGGCTTGTGCAAACACAGATGGCTGGACCCCACACCCAGAGTTTCCACTTCAGTGTGACTGAAAATTTACATTTCTAGCACTGTCCCAGGCAATGCTCATACTGCCAGTCCAGGAACCACTCTTTGAGAACCACACTCAGTATCTCCTTATCCACATCCAAGTCCACGCAGATAATAGACTCGTCTTAAAATTGGATGCTCATCACCCTAAACCTTGCTCAGAATTCTTCACCACCCTCTACTGTAGTTAACAAAGTCCAAACATCTGGGCCTGGCATTCTAGTTCCTTCCGGACTGTGGACCCAATTTAGCAGAAGGTTTCTGATCTCTTACTATTTATTTGCTCCTTTGCAATGGGCCAATTTATAACCATGTTTTTGGTGCCCCTCAACCATACCTTTTGATTTTATCAAACCTGTTCTTTTACCAGATGGTTGTTAGGCCTGGAGTTCTTTTTATTTTCCCCGCTTTTCAAAACCCTAAATAGCGAGAGGAGGTGAAGAGACTCACAGACATGCTCTCTCTTTCCTTCCCATGATGCTAACCTCAGAGTTGCTGTGGGAATTCCTTCCACCCCACAGTGTACCAGGTAAGCATCATACTACCTGCATTTGTGATATGGGTTAATGTAAGTGAATCACAAGTGCTTCATTATCTTGATTGTGACCACAAAATGCCATAGCATTGCATTAAGTTACAATGTGTGCTGCTTCAAATAAAATCAATTGTCATAGGGAAAAAAAAAACCCCATGAAACATCAATTTGGTGTACTAATTCAAAATCCCAAGTATACCTGAGTCACCTATAGTATGGTCTAGAAATATCCTGTGAAAAATGTAATCTGTTTTTAACGAACATGATATATAGTAATGTTTAATGCCTTAGAAATCATGATATGAATTCTGAAAAGACATAATGGACAAAGTGTATCCGATAAGAGAATGAAAAAACAAGGTTGTGCTCACTGTAAAGAGTGAAGACAAGGTTTTAGGCAGAAATATAAGCTGTACCATGAGGTGTGGGATATCATCATAAAAGGTAATACTCTAGAATCTAACAAACCTAAGCTTTTTTTTTTTTTCAGATTTGCAAAGTACACCTTGCACAGCAGAGAGAAAATAACTATGTTTTATGTAAAAAAATGTGAATTCATTCACTGGCTGATAGATTTTCCTCATCTTTGATACTGTAAATTCCTACAAGAGGAAAAATGACTTTTATATTGAACATATATACAGACAAAATATATATGAATACATAGGCATATATCAAGAAGGACAGCATTGTCATTTTGTACATAAAGTAAAAGTATTAGTACCAAGTCTTTCTAGGCAGCTCCAACATTATCCTGAACTTGACAAGTGAACCTTACCCATCAGAGTACTGCTGGGTAATACCAGTTATCAGACAACTGAAACGCTTCAAACATGTTGTAAGAAGGTCTTCATATTGCCCTTTCATAGATGAGAAAAATGGCTGGGAGAGCTTACTAAAGTTTCCAAATGTCGTAGCTAGTAATCACATCCCATGACTCAAAATCCCTTCTTCTTCGGCTTCCCACTATTCATAAACATTACTTTTCATGTTACGTTGTGTATTACTTTAAACGGCACACACGCATGTTACCTGAATCAGCGATCTGATCTCATACAGCAAATAAAAATTTCTTGGAAAAGTGGAAAAATATATTCAATTTGATCGTAAGTCTTTACATGCATTTTTAAGACTTTTTAAGAAGACATTAACGTGGATGGTACATATTTGCTGTTTCTAAAAGTTATAATTAGAAAAAACAAATAAGTTCAATCTTTTTGGGAATTATCTAAATGGGGTAATTTAGGTCTTTTATTATGTATTCCCCTTAGAATTTTTAGAGATAAAGCAAAGCTGTCGAGGTACACTTTAAGGCAGTATGGTAAAAAATGTTACAGTGGCCTATTAAGTATCATCTCACAGAATTGTGCAGATCTTTGCTTTATTTTTAAGGAATGGCCCAGCCAAGTGTGAGTTACCAGTGGTTGTGCCAGGTACAGGCCAACATCATGAAAAACAAGCCTAAGTTCAGGCTCATTGATGAGATGCCACCTTTCACTTTGTATTAGGAAGATTCAGGCAGAGATCCTGAGAGCAATGTGGACTTCTGTGGATTGCTGCCCTGAGAAGTGTTATGTGAGTAATCTCAGACCTGCCTGTGTCAGTCAGTAACAGACTGACTCTTAGAATCACCCGCTGCTCGTATCAAACAGCCCAAGATATCTCTTCCGTAGTTCTTCTCATCATCAACTCTGTGCTCTGCGGTCCAGGCAAATAACTTTCTCTCTTCTTGAGAATATTTCAGGGATTCTTGTCCTCTGGAAACAACATGCATTCACTGATTGATTTTTTTGGGGGGTGTGGGGAGAGTGGTAATTTGCTGGGGCCAGAAATGTGCTCTGATATGTTCACAGTTTCCTCTTTCTACCAGGAGGACTCCATAGGTATTTGACCCCAAAGTCTGACTCTCAAATTGCAGTCACTGGAGGTCAAAGCCCTAATGTCTGTTGAGGCTTTATGGAGCCCCTCTGAGAATAACAAATACATGGCAATCACTATAAACCTGCATTTATGCATCAATGACCATGGGCCAGGCTAGATACTAAGCACATAATAGTCATTATCAAATTTAATTTGCATAACAATTTTAGGAGATATGAGAAAGCTGAGTCAGGTTCATCAAGAAATCTTCCCAACATCGCATATATCATGAAAGGAAATGTGAAGATTTCAACAAAATTTTTACTGAATATTTTATGCTATTAATCATTATGGATACATTTTCCCAATGGGAATCTGATAAATTTGCATCAGCATTCTGTGGGAATGTAAGCACAAAACTTTGCTCGCAGATTTTCGGTGCACACACATTCCCTGGGCCTTTACACATCCAGTATCCCCTGGTAAAAAAACAAAACAAAACAAAACAAAAAAACTCCTAACCTAAGGGAAACACTTTTGTAGCTATGGAGCTCACATTTGCCTCTCCCTTGTTTAATCCCTGGAACATACTTTTAAGAACATTGCTTAAAAAAAAATCTGTCTTATTTTTTGTAATTGCTCTGCAGGGCCTACTCCAATAACATGAAACAACTCTGGTGAAGCAATCGCTTAATAGCAGGCCAGAGGTCTCAAAGATATTATTAATATACCTTCCAAAGGCACCAAACTGGCTTACAGGCATTAGGGGCAATTCTGGATTCTTAGCTATTATTTGAAACAGGATCTCTATGTGAGGACCAACGACATTTTGACTTCTCAAATGTTACTGTGAGGTAATATAATAACACACCTTCCCTAAGAGGAAGATCACTCATGCATCTATCTTGCTTTGCAAGCGCTGGCAAACAGGGCTCCTTCACTACTGTTCTCCTTCACTACTACTTCACTACTACAGTGTTCTCCTTCACTACTGTAGGAGGCTTGCCTTTCTTTTTCACATTGTGGGTGAAATGCGGGGAGCAGCTGAGAAGGCC
The DNA here is from genome assembly GCF_000001405.40 of Homo sapiens. NCBI lineage: Eukaryota > Metazoa > Chordata > Mammalia > Primates > Hominidae > Homo > Homo sapiens. Next base: position 3,909,068 of record NC_000008.11, read on the forward strand.
TTTGGAGAATTCTAGTGAACAAGTCCACTGGGCTGGAGACAACTAAAGCAATATTCTGGAGAGGCTTGAAGTGGATCGTGATTGGTCCTTTGGAGACTGGGTCAGGCTGTAGCTAAGATTTGTGGATGTGACAGGCTGAGACAGTTATCCTCTCAACCTCGTCCTGGCTTGGAGGAGATGTAGACCCAAAAGGTGTCAGTGTTGAGGCACTTTCCCTCATTGAAGTCTGTAACTTTTACTTCTCCTAGGGTGATTCGTGTGGGCATCCTTGCTGGGAAATGCCAGTCTGACTCACATTCGTCAGGAGGAACCCAGACCAAATCTACAGGAAAAATGAGCTCAAGGGTGCCGAGGGCAGGATACGCAGAAAAAGGCAGAACACACGGCGTGCTCCTGAGACAGCAGTGCGGAAATATCCAGAGAGCTTTCTCCCAGAAGCAGGAATGTTCCCACAGCGTGGTCGCTCTCCCCAGGTATTTCAACCCTAGGGAGGTGGGTGCCTTTTCGTGGCATAGAGGGAAAACTTCTAATAAGGCCCTCTGTTAGGCTCAGGAGCTTGTTTGTGCTGCAGGAATGGGTGAAGAGTCACCTGGGAACCCTCCTTTTCCTAACATCATCATTCCTCCTTCGAAATTCTTGCGGCTTGTGTAGCAAAGGCAAAAGTTTAGGGAAGGGGGTCTTGACTCTGGAGCTAATACGAACTCGACAAATTTGAAAAGTGTTTAATAATTCTCATCACAATTTTGCATGGTGATTGTAATAGAAGCACCACGTATGTCCTGCTGTATACAAGTTGATGGAATGGGTACAAAATCGTTAAAAGACTAAGCCCTGTATTAAAGCTGCTTGGACTCTAATTAGACAAGGAAGAAAAAATGGCTTTTTGACTGATATGCAGACAACACTTGGGAGTAACTAGAATGTTCCTCCATTTATTTATAAATAAAGGTAAATAATTCTTTATTTTTCTCTTAAAACAGAGGCATCACTAGAGCAAAGACCAGCTGCTAACATGGCATTGGGGAAAGGAGAACGGAACATCAACTGTGGATAATAACAGTGTGTGAGCTTTTCTTACAACTTATGTCGGACACATGTTACATCGGGGGACAAGGAATTTTATAATGCACGGAAAACAATGTTCATGCAGTTCAGTGAATTGTGGGGTGGGGAGGAAAATATGTCAGAGGCGTTTCCCAGCTGCTCAGCTCTCTCACCACGTTTGAAAATATGATGGAATTCAGAGCATGCCTGTGTCCTGCAAACTGACGACAGGGTGGCAGGTGCACCGAGGCCACAGAATGCACCAGGAAGAGACTCTGAAGATGCTGCCCTGTCTGCCGTCAAGACGCTTAATCCCTTCATAAAATCACGAAATTTAAGTGTTCAGGTTTTATTTTGTTCACTTTATATTTTGAAAGTGAACCAAGTAAACATTATACAAATTTTACAAAGAAGTCAGATTCAAATGGTGCCTTCAGAATAACTTGAGCAGACAGTATTATGAATGCATTATTTTTGGGTTCTAACACAGCAAAAGACAGATGATTTTAATATAAAGCTATTGTGCTTAATAAGAAAACAGACTGATATTGCTAAATCTATAATCTATTTTCCCCTTTGTATTTGCATATGCTTCTTCAGACCATTAAGGATATAAAAACACAACGAATTCGGTGCTTCTTTAGAGATTGTAGTGCCTTCTCTCCAGAGTACATTATTACAAATATAACTTGTTATTGGAGAGTGCATGCTACAGGCCAAATCTCTATCTTATTTCTGCCTTCCTTGGATGCAATGAATTTCAAGAGAACTGGAAAAATAAGTGCTTCCTACACAGTATCTACACAGAACTGTTATTAGCTTGATTGATCACGACCAGGAACGCTTTCTTGGGCATATTTCTGTAGCTATTACAAGACAGATGTGGCCAAGTCCTACTTATTCAGGGGCTGCCCAGCTAGCCCTCTGGGGACACTCCAGAACTCTAGAAATTGGAGATGACCAGAAAATTCTGTCAAATCACCTTGGCAGCTGTGGTTTACTGGACAGGTTGCCAATCACAGGACTCAAAGAGCTCTCAGAAAATCATATAATGCAAGTGTCTGCTTCCAGACGGGTCTCTGGGGACTAGATGTCAGCATCTCTCTTGAATGCTCATTCCAAAATCAAATCACATCATTCTTTAGGTCATTTTTCTTTTGTTTAACTGAAGTCTCTATAATCATAGATCCTTTTTTTTTTCCTTATTGAAAGGCTATATATCCTAGCTAACACACTGAAACCCCATCTCTACTAAAAATACAAAAAATTAGCTGGGTATGGTGGCGGGCGCCTGTGATCCCAGTTACTCGGGAGGCTGAGGCAGGAGAATGGCGTGAACCCGCGAGGCGGAGCCTGCAGTGAGCCAAGATTGCGCCACTGCACTCCAGCCTGGGCAACAGAGCAAGACTCCGTCTCAAAATAAAAAAAAAAAAAAAAGAAGAAGAAGAAAACGAAGGCTATATAACACCAGCTGGTCTTTATATTTCCAGTTTCTCTGCCATCCAATTCGATTAATAACTAGGAGTGGCTTTCATAATCACCTCTTTCACATGTCATTGCTTGTCGGAGCTGCCATAAGCACTCCCAGGCTCGCCTATCAAACTCCAGAACTTCCTCCTTTATTCTAAGACTTTTCCATCAGAAATCTCTCATCTCACCAGCCTCATTTCTCAATAGACTGAAACTTGTAAATTCTGTCTAATTAAACTCATTTTCTTAGACTGCCACAAACAAAAGATTCTCCTTCCCATCTGTGTTCCATCTTCTTACCTCCGTTATCTTTTCTCACCATCATTTTCCAAAGGATTCTCCTCTATGTGTTTTCCCTATATGTCCACCTGAATCTTACATCTTCCCACAAGTTTCCTGAACCGATAAAAATAGTTCAAAGGATCACCAATTGTCATATAGACACATATGGAGTATATTTTCTTTAACCACCTTTTATATTTGACTGAGTCTTTTCAAACCCTAAATCAATAAATATAACAGCTTGTCCAATTCTGAGACTGATTTTCTATTTTTATTTAACCTGATTAATGGGAACTTCACATTTCTCATGAATTTGTAATGATTTCAGAGAAATCGTTTTCTAACTCTGATTCGACATACTTCTATAGGGGCATGAACTTACTGGGAAATATCACTAATTATTCAAAAAACAATATACGGAGGGTGAATATTTTATATTTTAGTGATATTTGATACGTACTAATCAATCTGGTTTCAGTCAAAACATGTATTTAGGATTTACTACATTCAAGGCAATCTTCTAGCCAATTTGGGTGCAGGGACAAATAGGGTGGGACGATTTCTACTTAGAGTAGACCAGGGAAGACATTCCTAAACCAGAGAGGCTGCGTGCTCCTAGACCCTCAAGTGAAACATATTGCATACAATGGAAATACATAACAGAGGGGGCTGGTTAATCTTAGCTTCTCTGCCAAGGTGGTTTTGGAGATGAAAGTTGAAGCATGATAGAAAAGAGAGAGAAGGAGCTAAGGTGAATTGCACCCAGTGTTTACAAGCGTCCTCAAGTGGAAAAAAGTGGAGCATGTTTGATAAACTGAGAAATACATGCAGAATACGACAACTGATGGGATGAAATGTCCAAGATGAGCCTGAAGAGGCAGACTGCAGTCTGCTCTTGTAGCTCAAGGTCACACGAAGGCATGCAATGCTAGCTAGAGTAAACATGGTAGGATTTTATGATTTAAATTATATTCTGTTGAGAGTTCTGGAGGGGGCGTAGTAGTGATGGTGATGTAAGAGTGAATGAAGATCAATTAATCAGCAGCTATGGTGGTCATTCAGGTAAGAGAACACAGGGTGTGAACATGGATTGAGAGGAGTAACCAAATGTGAGGAAGACACAGGAAAGCCTACGCACTGGTGACTATAATGAGCTAAGGCGTGGAGAGAATCGTGACTTTAGCAGCAGGGCAACATGGCAGCACTAGGAAAGGAGCTTTTGGATGGTGTGTGTCTGTGTTGCAGTGGTCATGTGGGGTTTTGGCACCTTGAAATTTGAAGTATCCATGTTACATCGACAGGGAGATGTTGAGTTGAGAACCGAATATATTGGTTGGAGGTCAGAACAGATATCAGGGTTGGAATAAACATTCAGGAATCCTTGGCACGAGAATGACAATGGAAGCCATGGGGAGGTTTTTGTCAAAGGATCCTGTGAGGACCATCGACCTGCTCAGGAGTGAGAATCCAAGGCCAATCCGATATCAGAACAGAGGAAGCAACAAGCACAAAGGGAAATGCAACTTCCAGACCAGAAGAAGCAAACCACTGGGATGTGTCCCAGAAGCAACCAGCGAAGGGAAATGTAACCTCCAGACTGGAAGAAGCAAGCCCTTGGAATGTGTCCCAGAAGTGAACAAAAATGTGTTTCAGAAAGGATGGAGCGAGCCCTAGGTGCAAGTAATAATAAGGCAACAAAGAATACGGTCAGTGAGTTCCAGTGCATTTGCCCACAGATCTGGCAAGAATGTACTTAGGGAAGTGGTGGAGTCATCCAGCATTGAGACATTTGGGTCAGGGCCATCGAAATATCAAGGATGCAAACTTTCAGGAAGTTTAGATGGAAGCATGCAGGGAAGGCAGGAGTGGGGAAGGAATGTGGGTCACAGGATGAGTTCTTAAAGAGATAAACAACTTGTATCTTAATGCTGGGCACCAGAGTACTAGAGTATTAGAACCAACTCAGACGGTCTAATCACCTTGACTTTCCTGTGTGTGTATATATAATTTATGATTACCTCGACTGTTTTTTGTCCAGCTGTATAAAGTCCAGTTTTGGACTCAAATAAATTAACGATCACTTTTGACTTCAGATAAAGGAAAGTACTTTAGCCAATATTTAAATTTTGTAATACTTTGTTATTCTTGAAACCCTTCTCTATACTTCTAAGTTAAAGAAAAAGTAATATTAAGTGGAAATGATCACAATAAAGAGTCATATTTGAATTATGTAAGTGCCTTGTCTTCAGCGTTAGAATTTTATATGAATAGAGTATGATGAGAAAAATAATTCAGTCAGAGAAAACAAGAAAAAGTACTTTTAACCCCCAAAAAGAGGTAAGTAACTTGAGCACCTGCAAAAGGGCTAGAATAGAGTAGATAAGAGCTAGTTAGAGAGGTTGCATACTTTGGAGAGAAAGGGTCACAGGTAGCTCATGGTTTTTAAGAACGAGGAAGAGAATGGGGCCTAGAGGGTATCAGGATGTGTCCCATTACGTTGGATAGATGTAAAAACATACGGGTACAGATAAAGATGTTTGGTGCAAGAAAGGAGAGACAACCATGTTCTAAATCTTCTATTTCTAACGCTAATTATTATTATATCATGTTTTGAGTAAGGACAGTGTGTGTGCAATCTGTGTAAAGTTTAATTTTTGTAGCTCCTAACTAAAGTATCAATAGTTTCCACTGTTGAAATGGCAGTTTACTCCTTAAAATAAAATAAATTAAGAAAATAGTACCAGCTAGCATTAAATGAAACTCTTTCTGTCTCTCAGATCTCCACCTAGTCCACGTTAGTATGCATTAAGTCAGCTTGGTTGTCAAGTTGAAAGATGTCTTTATTTTTTGACTATCCCTTTTTTTTTCAGATCCTTTGACATGTATCTGTCTTTGCTCATTCTTCATTTTTACCGGTTAATTCCTCAACAAAGATTTATTGACATCTACTCTACTGAGTGTCCTTATGCTAGAATGCAAATACTTCCAAGGCACACATCATACAGTTTTCAGTTTTATGCTGCTGAAATCTTACAGAATAACTCAATAATTACTGATTGAACTAAACACAACAACAACGACAACAACAAAACAGTATTGCAGTGTGATGAAAGCTGAACGGAACAGCCTTCACACACATACAAGTGTTCAGGATGAGGAGATTCTACAAACACATCCAGGGATACAGGCAGGGAATAGTTATTGAATTAATTAGGGATCGGAAAAGCCCTAATAATGAAGAGTCAAGAGTTTAGGTAGCAGGTTGGGAGTAGTAGTTCACGCCTGTAATCCCAGCCCTTTGGGAGGCTGAGGCAGGAGGACCACCTAAGGTCAGGATTTCGAGACCAGCCTGGCCAACATCACGAAACTCTGCCTCTACCAAAAATAGAAAAATTATCTGGGCATGGTAGTGTGTGCCTGTAGTCTCAGCTATTCAGGAGTCTAAGGCAGGAGAATCATTTGAACCCAGGAAGCGGAAGTTGCAGTGAGCTTAGATAGTGCCACTGCACTCCAGCCTAGGCGTCACAGTAAGACTCTGTCTCAAAAAAAAAAAAAAAAAAAAAAAGAGTTTAGCATAGTAGGTTCGGAAGATCACTTCAAGGACTTCAGGGAAGTGCAGGAAAGGATGACATGAAACAGGACATTACTGGGCTTTGTTGATCATACGATCAAATTCTAGCTTTAAACACAAGGATGAATAATTCTATAATAGTCAGACATTTAATGGGATTATTACTGAAATACTTGAAAAGCTTATCATATAATTATATATAATTTAACAGAACCTGTGTACTTCATAACTGATATTACTAATAATGTAGAACTCTATCTCTGTTATAATTTATTGGTTGAATGTTAATTTAGCTAGCAGCTCAAATTATGAACTCTCTCGCTTTCCATTGCATCTGTTCCTAAAATTTTCGTATCAATTTTATTACCTTTATCTAGTATGCATTTTGGGGTTTAACATTTTACATATCACCCCAACTAGAAACTTTTCAATTGTTTTTGAATAACAAGGAAATTAAAATCATATAAATTGTGTGAGTTATCTGAGGCAGACCTACATAAACTGGCTCCAAACTTTAGGTAAACGGACTGGAAGCATTTGAGTGAGATTCATAAGATTGATATAATGCAATTAGTTGGAAAATGTCACTGCAGACACAAGACAAATGGGTAACATAATACTTTGCTTTTCAAAGTGTCTGCTCTGGAAGTCTTTGACTCAATGATTCTGTCAAAAAAGATAACATGCCAGTAAATTTCAGTGAAAAAAAATGCTAAATGCTCTATTACTTCAAGAAATTGAAGACAACAATACAATGATGAAGTAGAGACTTCCAGATGTTGCCAACCGGTCATTTATGAGGTGTAACGAAAATATATACAACAGGAGCCCAGAAAGCTTTTGTGGAAAGTCTCATATAAAATCACCTGGTTCTCAGCACTACGCCGGATATTTATATAGCATGAATATTGTCAGCGAATATCAAGCCTCTGTACATAGGAGGTAATTCCATGATGAAATAACTCTCAATTTCTAAAACTGTCTTAACAAATGACAAAACACTTATATGAACCATGACATTACTTATACATAAAGGCTTGTTAGCTTGAAATTTCTGATAAATGGGAATTAACTTCCTACTTAGGGATACGCCTAGGTTGAAACATTTAGTATCCGATTATGTATGAAGTATGATTGTATGAACATTATGTAGGTGACAATATGAACTTTAGTAGGCGACTGCAAATGTACTTAACATATAGGTACCCTGACAGGCAACCCGGATGTATTCATCACCTGATGTAATCTGTGTAGTTTCCTACTACAGTCATCACAAGGATAGAAAAAGTAGAGATAATCATTGAGAATGTGTCACAAAACTAGAGAGAGAAAAAATAATTGAGTGGCTCAATTTCAAAATAAGGCTGTGAAGATGGATTATGGGGGGTGGTCTTAGATTGCTGCAGGTTAGAGAGATAAGGACTTGCACCAAATAAAAGTCCCTAGCTGGTCATGAAACAGAATGAGACATATTAAAAAAAATAACAATAATAATCTGCACTAAAAGCTGCTCCTTCTCCTCCAATTTATTATTTCCTGAGGCAAAATGGTGAAACTCCACTGCCCTATGAAGCATTGTTGATACTGGAAATTGATTTTATTTTCTTCCTCTTTTTGAATGTTACATAATATGTTTCTTAAGACACCAGGCATTTATTCAGAATTTTAAAATCTTTGTCATAAAAGATAGTCTAAGAGAATGAGTGCTTACCTGCTGCACAGAGGAATAACGATTACAAATATTTATGGAGCGCTTAATCTCAGCTAAGTGTTTCCCATGAGCCATTTCCTGTGGTTGAAATGCAACCCTATGAGATGCTGTTGAATGCATGAACGAACTGAAGTTCCTGAAATTAGGTGATGCGTTGGGAGTAGCAGACTCAGGAGTGAATGCTAAGTTTTGCAAATATACAGTCCACTCACTTTGACACTTCACCGCACTGCTTCCCTCTACAGGAGTTTGGGTTTGGTTATACCACGAAACACACACACACACACACACACACGCTCATGCGCGCACAAATATGTTTCCTGCTACTATGGCTGAAAGTTTTGTTAAAAGATAAACATAAAAAATACACAAATAACAACCAATGTTTTATTACCTGGAATGCCTTTTTTGAAACTGCAAAATATTTGCAACTAGTTGACATAAAGTTCAGATTGGCTTCATATTTATATTTTACCTTTTTCTTAAAAATGCTTATTATGGTACGACTAACATGCAAAAAGTTGTACACATGTAATGCCATGAACTAGATTGTTTTGGAGATACGTATATATCCAAGAAACCGTCACCACTCTCAAGGCCACAGACAAATCTACCACCTGCCAAAGATTCCCCCCACACCTATTATTAGTTTTGCCATTAGCAATATTAGTTGTGTGTATGCGGTAAAAGCACATAAGATCTACATGCTTAGAAATTTTAGGCCTTTAAAATTTTACTTAAATTTTAAATGAAAATTTAAAGTTCTCAGTGTGTTTTTTAAGCATTTAAAATCTAATTTTAAATGTTTAAAATTTAAGCTGGTTTATTTCATTTACCACGATGTCTTCCCGATTCACGCATGCTGTTGCAAATGGCACAATTTCCTTCTTTTTTAAGGGGTGAGTAATATTTCATTGTATATTCCACTTTTTCTTCCTCCACTCATTGATCAAAGTGCATTTATGTTGTTTCCTAATCCTGGCAATTGCTAATACTGCTCCAGTAAACATGGGAGTGAAAGTGTGTGTTCAAAATCCTGATTTCATATTCCTTTGGATAATTACCTGGAAGTGGGGATTGCTGGGTCATATGGTAGGTTTTGTTGTTGTTGTTGTTGTTTTTAGCAGCCTACAAACTCTTTTCATAAGGACTGAGCCAATTTACATTCCTACCACCAGTGTACAGAGTTCCTTACTCCCCACGTCCGCATCAACACATATATTTTTATATAATGGCCATCTTAACAAATATCACGTGATATATTCTTGTGGTTTTGATTTGCGTTTGTCTGATAATTAATTATATTGATCACCTTTTTATATACCTGTTGGACGTTTGTATGTCTTTGCAGATATATCTACTTGGGTTATTTGCCCATTTTTAATTTTTAATTTGTTTTCTATTGAAGTATATGCATTTCTTATATATTTTGGACATTAACCCCTTATTGAATACGTGGTTTGCAATGTGGAACCAGCATAAATTCCCATCAAAAACGAGTGGATAAAGAAGCTGAGGTATATGTTTATATGATGGAATACTACTGAGCCATAAAAAGGAATGAATTAATGGCATTTGCAGCAACCTGGATGGTATTAGAGACTATTCTTCTAAGTGAAGTAACTCAGCAATGGAAAACCAAACATTTTATGTTCTCATTCATAAATGGGAGCCAAACTATGAGGATGCAAAGATAATTAGAATGACACAATGGACTTTGGGGACTTGTGGGGAAAGAATAGGAAGGGGGTGAAGGATAAAAGACTACAAACTGGGTTCAGTGTGGGCTGCTCGGGTGATGGGTACATCAAAATCTCACAAATCACCACTAAAAAACTTATTCATGTAACCAAATACCACCTGCTCCAGAAACACCTATGGAAATATTTTTAAAAAATATGTGGTTGTAAAAATTTTCTCCCATTCCATAGGGTGATTTTTCATTTTGCAGATTGTTTCTTTTGCTGTGCAGAAGATTCTGTGTTTGACGTAGTCCCACTTCTTTTGATTTGGTTGCCTGTACTTTTCGTGTCATATCCAAAAAAAAAAAAAAAAAAAAAAAAAAGAAAGAAATCATTGTCAAGATCTATGCCAAGGATTTTTAAAAAATGTTTTCTTCTAGGAGTTTTGCGGGTTTGGGTATCGCACTGAAGTCCTTCATCAATTTTGTGTGGTCTAACACGTGGGCCAGTTTCATTCCTCTGCACGACATACTCAGTTGTCTCAATCTCATGTGTTGAAGAGACTCTCTTTTCCCCCATTGTGTCTTTTTGGCATGTTTTTTGGTTAGTTGGCAGTTTTTGCTTGAGTTCACTTTCTGGCTTTCTATTCTGTATTATTGGTCTATGTGTCTGTTTTTATTACAGTATCATACTGCTTTTATTACTGAAGATTGGTAATATAATTTGATATCAGGACATGTGATGCCTTCAGCTGTGTTATTCTTGCTCAAGATTGCTTTGGTTATCTCTGGTCTTTTGTGATTCCATACAAATTTTATGACTTTTTTTTCTATTTCTGTAAAAATGCCATTGGAATTTTGATAGAGATTGCTTTGAATCTGTAGATGACTTTGCGTAGTATGGACATTTTAAAAATATTAATTATTCCAATCCAGGAACACAAGCTATCTTTCCATTTGTTTGTGTTTTCAATTTTCTTCATAAATATTGTATAATTTTCAGTGTACAGATCATTCACCTCCTTGGTTATTTTTTCCCCAAGTATTTCATTCTTTTTAATGACATTCAAAATGAGATTTTTTTGGGAATTTCTTTATCAGATAATTTGACTCAGAAACACAACTGAGTCTTGTATTTTTAGTGTGTAATCTGTGAATATACCAAATTTTTTTTTACTTTAGGATTTACCAAATTTGTTTTTTACTTTTTTGTTTTTCTTCCCCAAGACAAGATCTCACTCCTTCTGCCCTGGCTAGACTGCAGTGGTGCAATCATAGCTCACTGAAGTCATGACTTTCCACACTCAGGTGATCTTCCTGCCTTAGTCTTCTGAGAAGCTGGGACTACAGGTGTGTGCCAGCATATCTGGCTAACTTTTCATATTTTTAGTAAAGACAGGGTCTCACCATGTTGCCCGGGATGCTCTTGAACTCCTGGGCTCAAGTGATCCACCCACTTCAACCTCCCAAAGTGCTGAGATTATAGGAGTGAGCCACCGTACGTGCCCTATTTTTCTAAGATGCGTGTGTGTTTGTGTGTGTGTGTGTTTATGTGTGTGTGGACACTGTAGGTTCTTTTCTAAGACTGTAACATCTGAAAACATAAAATTTTACTTCTTACTTTCCAATTTGAGTGCCTTTTATTCTTTTACTTTCCTAATTGATCTGGCTAGGACTTTCAGTACTATATTAAGTACGTTTGGCACGAGTAGGCAACTTGTCTTGTTCTTAAATTTAAAGAGAAATGCTTTCAGCTTTTCATCATTATGTACATTAGTTATGGGCTTGTCATATATGACCTTTATTATGTTGAAGTATATTCCTTCAACACATAATTTGTTGAGAGCTTTTATCAGGAAAATAGGTTAAATTTTGTCAAATGCTTTTTTGTGCATCTATTGAGATGATCCTATAAATATCATATTTTGTTAGTGGGGTATATCCAATTTATTGATTTGCGTATGTTAAAACAACCTTGCATCCCAGCGATAAATCTCACCTGACTGTGGTGTATGATCCCTTTAATGTGCTATTGAATTCATTTTGCTAGTGTTTTGTTGAGAATTTTTGCATCTATTTTGATTACAGACATTGGCCTGTACATTTCTTTTATTGTAATGTAATCTAGATATGACATGAGGGTACTGCTGGCCTCATAAAATAAGTTTGAAAATGTTTCCTCTTCTTCAGGTTTCCGAAAGAGTTTGAAAAGCGTTGGTTTAGTGTTTCTTTAAATGTTCGATAAAATTTAGTAGTGAAGGTATCTATTTATGGGTTTTCTTTGAAAGAAGGTTGAACACTGACACATTTCCCTTATTTGTATTGACCCTTTGAGATTTTCTGTTTATTTACGATTCATCTTGGTAGGTTATCCACATTTTGCGTATATAATTTTTACAGTATTGTATTTATATTTCTGTAATACCTGTTGTAGTATCACCTCTTTCATTTCTAATTTTGAGTCTTCTCTTTTCTACTTAGCATAAGAGTTTATCATTTTTGTCTATCCTTTCATAAAATTTCAGTATTTTTCATTTTTCTTTAAATTGTCTTTCTAGCCTCTATTTAATTTATTATCTAACTTGTATTATTTTCTTTCTTCTATTAACTTTGAGCTTGGTTTGTTCTTTTCCTAGTTCAGTGAGGTGTAAAGTTAGGTTGCTTATATAAAATACTTTTTATTTTTTTCATGTAGGCCATCATTTCTGTAAACTTCCCTCTTAGAACCACTTTTGCTTCATCTATTTTGGTGTGCTTGGTTTCCATTTTCATTTATTTCCATCTATTTTTGGATTTCCCTTTTGATTTCTTCCTTCCCCCATTAGTTGTTCAGGCGTATGTTGCTTAATTTTCACATATTTGTAAACTAATTTTCCTCCTCTCCCTGATTTTAGTTTCATAATATAAGAGTCAGGAAAGTTACCAAATATGAGTGCAATCTTCTTTGATTTGTTAAGAGTTGTTTTATGGCCTAACATATGATCTATCCTGGAGAGAGTTTTGTGCAAAGCTTAGAAAAATGTATATGCTGCTGCTGTGGTCTGGAAGGTTCTGCATGTGTCTGTTAGGTCCATCTGGTCCATACTGTTGGCCAAGTACATTGCTTTCTTATTGATTTGATGTCTGGATGACATGTCTATTTTGGAAAGCAGTGCATTAAAGTTCCATACTGTTAATATATTGTTTTCTATTTTCCCTCCAGTTCTGTTAATATTTGCTATATATGTAGGTGCTACAATGTTGGGTGCATATATAATTTTATATAGTTTTCATGAATTGACCCCTTTATCATTATATTATGACATTCTTTCTTTCATGTTTCCGTTTTTGCCTAATGTCTATTTTGTATTATAAAAATATAGACAACCCTACTCTCTTCTTTTTAACCACTTGCATAAAAATATCCTTTTCTATCTCTTTACTTTCAACCTATGTGTGCTCTTAAAAACATAGTGAGTTCCTTTTAAAAAGCATATAGTTGGATCTTATTTATGTCAATTCAGTCACTCTGTCTTTGGATTAAAAAAAAATTAAGTAACTTACACATAAAGTAATTATTAATAGGTAAGAACTTACTACTGCCATGTTATTAAACTTCTTGGACTGTTTCATCATTAATATATTCTGTTCTGTTTCTCGTCACATTTTCTTTCATAATTTGATAATTTTTGTATTCATAGGCTTTGATTCTTTTCTATTTATTTTTTGTATACCTACTAGAGTTTTTGATTTTTGTTCATGGTTACAAGTAGGATTAAATAAAACATCTTCTGGTTAAAGCAGTCTATTTTGTGGCTGATAAAAATGTAAATTTGGTCACATAAAAATAACTTTTAATTGTGCTTTTCATCCAAATCTGTATTTTATGTTGTTGATATTACTATCTACATCTTTTTTATATTTTGTATTTATTAACCAATTATTGTAGGTATGGTTATTTTTAGTACATTTGTCTGTACTTTTAAAACTTTTTAATTGATGAATATAAAATTCTATATATTCATGGTGTACAACATGGCCTTCAGATATTGGGATATGTGGAGGAAAAGTTAAATATTAAATTTCAACTCAACTGAACATGAACACAAATAATGGTCAACAAATACCGAAACAGATTGTGTGAGCCCCTTGAGGTGTTCATCCAGGGCTGTTTCAGAGAAATCTCTATTTCCATCTATTCTTATATGTTAGTTATTGAAAAACAACAGACAATTGCAAAAACAAGTTGACCCTTTTGTGTTCCTGGAGCCCAGTTGCGAAGGGCCCTTGTGACTGGGACTCATGCCAAACAACTCATTAAAAGAGAGCTAGGGTCCCAGACCACGCCGAAGCTTCATGAGACCTCTCCTCATCAGTGCACTAATGAGTGGCTGACTCTGGAGCTCAGGCTATTGTTTCCTTGTCTGGTGGTGAATCTTCCAGAGTCTGGTGAGTGGAGTGTCTGACTCTGGAGCCCAGGCTGTCCCTTCCCCATTTGGGGAGTTTATGTATGTATATATACACATACATCCACATACGTATATTTTTTTCGCTTGTCCCCTTCCCATTGCAATTTCCTTATTATATCATTTGCTTATTTTGTCAATTTGATTATATTAATTTGCTTATTGGATCATTTGCTTATTATATCTGCATTGCCATTTATGTGGGACATGTTTACCCTTAAAGGTATTGTGTGTGTGTCTTTTATTCTCACCTTGCGCATTTCCCACACAGAACAGGATACACTGTGAAATAATTAAATGAAGCTAATTAACATACTCATCACCTCATATACTCACCATTTTTGTGGTTCAGTAATTTTAACTCTACTCTCTTAGAAATTTTCAAATATATAATACATTCTTTTTATCTGTAGTCACCATGCTGTACAATAAATCTCTAGTTCTTATGCTTCCTGTCTCACTGAAACTTTATACCCTTTGACAAACATCTCCTCATTTTCACCTTTTCACCAAGCTCATAGTTACCACTGTTCTACTCCCTGCGTCTGAGTTTCAATTTTTTACATTCCATAGATAAGTGAAATCATGCAGTATTTGTCTTTCTTTGCTTGTAGCTATTTTTAAAATATATTGTCCTTTAAATTTCATAAAAGAGTTAGATTTTTCACCATTATTACAGTATTAGAATATTCTGAATTTGACTATACACTTACCTTTACAGGTAAGTTTTGTGCTTTCTTGCTGCTAATAAGTGTCCTTTCATTTCAATTTGAAGGACTCCCTTTAGCGTTTCTTGCAGGGTATATCTGGTGGTGATGAAATTTCTCAGCTCTTGTTGATGCGGGAAAATCTGTATCTCTCCATTTATGAAGGACAGTTTCTCTGAGTATAGCATTCTTCGTTGGCAGCTCTTTACTTTCATAACTTTGGATATATCGATCCATTTTTTCCTGGTCTTCAGAAAGATGCTGATGTTCTTGTAGGGATACCTTATATGTTGTAAACTGCTTTCCTCTTGATGCTTTCAATATTCCTTCTTGTCTATGACTTTTGACAGTTTAAAGTGTCTCAATGAGAATCACTAAAAGCTCAAGCTGCATTTAATTCATTGGGCTTCATATACCTAGACATTCATTTCCCTCTCCAGATTTGGAAAGCTTTTGTCATTATTCCTCTAAGAAATTTATCTTTCTCTGTTTCTTCTGAGACTTCTATGATACATATATTGATTCACTTGATGGTTTCCCAGAAGCTCGGTGGACTTGCTTCATTTTTGAAAATTGTGTATCAGTTTTGTCCCTGTGACTGGATAATTTTAAATGATCTGTCTTATATTTCACTAATTCTATTTTCTGATTGGTTGAGTCTGCTGTTTAAACACTTCTTTAATTTTTTCAGTGTAATCATTGTTCTCTTTAGCTCCAGATTTTCTTTGTTTCATATTTATAATGTTCACCTCTTTGTTGAACTACTCATTTTGTTCATATCTTGTTTTTCTGGTACTCTTCAACTCTCTATTCGTGTTATCCTGTAAGTCACTGAAGTTAAGATGATAATTTTAATTTTTTTGTCAGGCGGTTCAAAAATTCTCATTTCTTTAGGGTTTGGTACTGGTGCTTTGTTTTGCTATTTTGGTACCATTATATTTCCTTTATTTTTTTCTCTCTTCCTTGAAGTTCTGCATTGCTTTCTTAGCATTTGAAGCAGTATTTCTTTAGTCCTTGCTGACTGGTAAGAGAAAGACTTTAAATAGTTATCCTGCCTAGAGATACTGTGGGTCTCTGCATCTGTTCTATGGCTATGCCTGCCCCACTTCTCTTATTCTTTCTTACCAGTCAGTAAAGAGAGCCTGAGGCAGAGCCACCCAGCTAATCCACTTCCCAAATCCTGACCCATAGAAATTATGAGAAAAGAAATGTGTGTGTTTTCAATTTGCTACATTTTGGGCTATTTTGCTTTACAGCGACCTATAAGTAATGCATTTGGGGAATGTGCTTCAGCGATTGCTACAATAACCCAAGAGGTGAAGCATCAGAGTAAAGTACTTGTGCATTTATATATTATATGCTATCCTATTTTAATTAGAAATATTCAAATGACAATTTAATATTAAGTGTACTTTAAAATATAAAAGCATGATGAAAGAAATAATATTTAAATTATACAGTTAAACCTGAAATACAGTTCAAAAGATAACGTTCATAATGCTGGGTGGTAAGACACTGATGCGGTTTGGCTGGGTCCCCACTCAAAACTTCCAGAATTCCCAGGTGTTGTGAGAGGGACCCACGGTGAGGTAACTGAATCGTGGAGACCAGTCTTTCCCCTACTATTCTCGCAACAGTGAATAAGTCTCATGAGATCTGATGGGCTTATCAGAGGTTTCCACTTTTGCCTCCTCCTCATTTTTCTCTTGCCACCACCACGTAAGAAGTGCCTGTTACCTCCCGCCATGATTCTGAGGCCTCCCCAGCCATGTGGAACTGTAAGTCCCATTGAACCTCTTTTTATTCCCAGTTTTGGGTATGTCTTTATCAGCAGCATTAAAACCAACTAATACGGGCAGTGAAAGATATTTGGGGACCTTTATTAATTTATTTTATTCAAGTTTTATTTTTTAAATATATACTATCTGCATAACAAAATGTAGAAGGTACAGCAGCCAAGCAGTAAAGGCTTTTCCTTATACCTTTAACCTCAGTCACCCAATTTACCCTATGAAACTAATTGTCTATTTGTCTATACACACACACACACACACACACACACACAAACACCATATACACACACACACACACACACAAACACCATACACACACACACACACACACACACACACACACACACACACACACACACACTTGTGGTGTGTATAGGTGGGGGTTTATGTATACTTTCTAAGTCATATTTTTCCCAGACATGATTTTAAGTACTAATAACGTATGTTGATTTATTTCCTCTTTTATGTGTTAATGGTAAAATCACAATCCATGTCCTCTCTAACCAATACTCCCCTTGTGCCATGTATTTCTCCTTATAACTTTTCAATCTATTACACACTATTTATTTTATCTTATCTTATTTTATGTTTTTTCACCAGAAACAGGAGGGCAGTAAGATTTTTTCTGTCTTTTGTTGAGATATTACCAGTAGCTAATATAGAGTCTGTTATAAATATTTGTTGAATGAGTGAATACATGTGTTGCATTTCATTAGTATTTTAATACTAAATTCTTTATTATTTTTCACTTACAAAAAGCAAATAATTGTTTCTTTTTTGATTTAATTTTTGATGATTATTCTAACATTTATTTCTGGTTAATTTTATCAGTTGTTTAAAATATGATTTTATGAAAAGCATATTATTAGAAACAATTAATTGACCTATACTTTTATGTGAAACACATTTGAAAACGCAATTAAATTCAAGTTAAATTGACACCTTTTTTTTTTTTTTTTTTTTTTTATGGAGTCCCGCTCTGTAGCCAGGGTGGAATGCAGTGTCGTGATCTCAGCTCACTGCAACCTCTGCCTCCCGGGTTCAAGCAATTCCCCTGCCTCAGACTCCCAAGTAGCTGGGATTACAGGCATGTGCCACGACACCCAGCTAAGTTTTGTATTTTTAGTAGAGAAAGGGTTTCACCATGTTGGCCAGGATGGTCTCAAACTCCTGACATCGTGATCCACCCACCTCGGCCTCCCAAAGTGCTAGGATTACAGGCGTGAGCCACCGTGCCCGGCCAAATTGGCATCTTTAAAAGTACTTTTTGTGCTTTATGTTTTTATAAGAGGTAATTTAGTATTTATTGTAATTATCTTTAGGTATTATTATCGTTTTTAACTGAGAATAATATAAATTATTATAAATAAAAGATAGGGTTGTCATAAAGTTTTGAAGCTATAATTTATTAGAGATATTATATCTAACAGCTTCTAATAAATAAATGCTAACCTTCTTTATATTATTCCAACAATTACAAATAAATATATAGCAGACATAAGCTAATAATTATTAAGGTGCCAGACAGCATGAAAATTATTCTGACTTTATAAGAACTTTATGAGTATTCAATGGAAAAAGGAAAGGTATCACTGTATAACAGAAAACAATACAGCCAGACACAGTGGCTCCTACCTGTGGTCCCAACACTTTGTGGTGCCGAGGCAGGTGGATCACAAGGTCAGGAGTTTGGGACCACCCTGGCCAACATGGTGAGACCCCATCTCTACTAAAAATACAAAAATTAGCCAGCCGTGGTGGTGCATCACTGTAATCCCAGCTACTAGAGAGGCTGAGGCAGGAGAATCGCTTGAAACTGGAAGGCGGAGGTTGCAGTGAGCCGACATCACGCCACTGAACTCCACACTCGGCGAAAGAGTGAAACAAGTGAAACTTCATCTCAAAATAGAAAAGAAAAGAAAACAATTAATATTTTCTTTACCTTTGTTAAGCAGAAAAAAAAGAAGATGCTAATTTGATTGCGTATAAGCAGAACACTAAGAAAAATACCAAATCTACCAAATATTTTAGTTTTAAATTTAAAAATATGTCTCTCAGTGATGTTTGGCAGATACTTTTTTATAAAATAGTTTCATAAACATTCTTAATATGAGAGTCGAAGGTTACCTAAAAAATCATTTTACATCAAATTCTTTGTTTTGTTAGATTATCTGTTAATTTCTTAAGTTCATTTAACATAATTTTTATATTGAAGAATATGATGGTTTTAAAATATTATCTTTTCTAATTGATGAACAATTATAGCATCAATTTTTTTCTTAAATTTCCCCACTTTATTCAAGGAGGCCTGAGTTTATGAAAGTATAAAGGACATACAAAGGTAAATAAACTATCTATAGATTTAATTGCCTGTTGGACATTTACATTTCAATGAAGCAGCTCAGAAAAGAACATGAGAATGATGTTAATGTAATAATACTGAAAGGAAAATAGAAATAGTAGGTATAATTAATACAGCCTCATAATTACATATGCTGTGATATAAATGTTACATTGATTATTCAACTTCTTGAATGTATTTTTCTTTTAATTGCCAGGACTGAGTGGTAAACAAATGATATATTGCCCTTTTTAAAGTGCATAAAAAAATGTGTAGGTAGCAGTGAAATATCAGCACAAGCAATGAGTCCTAACTTTTCAAAAACCAGTAACTGCTGAATTAATTCAATCTTTTTGTAGAAATAAAAATGCAGTTAAGTGGAACAGGGGGCACTGCCCAGCTGCATTCACAGGTTTCACGGCCGTTTGTAGGCTTCGGTACTGTACTAAGTTCAGATCTACAAGTAGTTCCATCCACCAATATAATAGATGATGTCATAAGAAGGAGAAGGAAGTAATAAGAGTATACATGACAATAAAAATGGTTTAAAGAAGGTATAGATTTTTTTTTAAATTGCTCCTGCTCTTTGGATCTATGCTATTTCTTAATATACGTGAATACTTTTGAACCCATTCTGAAATCAAAGGTGGTCCAGATCCCACCCACCCCGCCCACCCCCGGGCCAGTTCTATGCATTCCCAGCGATTCCACCTACCCCAGGTCATGCTGTCACTATACAAGGGTAGGAGAAATGTCATGGAGCTTTCCACTGTTGCTTATCAGTGATCTTTCTTTTCGTATACCTGGAATTATTTTATCAACCTGCAATAAAATGAATGCTGTGGTTTTGTGTGCTAAAACAATTGGTTGTCATTGTATAAGAAATCTTACCGATTTTTGGTTTCCCTGTAACTCTCAGGGCCATCAGCATTGCCATCTACTAATTGCAGAAAATTAAAAGCACAGAGAATAAAGAAAGACTTGGAGTGAGGAGAGATGAAACTCTGCACATAAGCAAGATGCTTTCTACTGCCCCCTCTGGAAGGATACACTTAACAAGAGTGCAAGGCTGAGGAAAGCTCTTGCCTCTGCACATGGTTTCTCTTACATAAAGGAGGTGTTTGTCCATATACACATATGGACAGGATGATTTTCCCCCTACATTCCCTCAATGAGAAACTCAATGCTGAAATTAAAAACTCATCTTCCAGGTACAAACTGCATACATAATTTTTAATACTAGACATTATTTGAAAAAGTTCGTGAATGTTCACAGCCAAGGGTGACAATGTAATTTCAACCTTCCCCACATGAGAAGTGGGTCCAAAAGCTGGAGGGGACAGAACAAATCAGCTACAGGTGCTGTCTCTGAAGGACTCTGCAATCTGCATATTGAAATTCAAAGTCAACGTCCATTGGCAGGAACTGGGTTGTCTGTCTATTCTGATGGAATGATTTCATGTTATAAGAT
Source organism: Homo sapiens (assembly GCF_000001405.40). Classification (NCBI taxonomy): domain Eukaryota; kingdom Metazoa; phylum Chordata; class Mammalia; order Primates; family Hominidae; genus Homo; species Homo sapiens. Next base: position 3,929,584 of record NC_000008.11, read on the forward strand.
AAAAAATAAATGTGGCTGCATTATTTTGTCTTTAAAAGGAAGAGTATATTGTTTCAAAACATATTTGTATGAATAAAAATACTATTTTTTTTTTTTGAGATGGAGTTTCACTCTGTCTCCCAGGCTGGAGTGCATTGGCACAATCTCGGCTCACTGCAACCTCAGCCTCCTGGATACAAGCAATTCTCCTGTCTCAGCCTCCTGAGTAGCTGGGACTACAGGCACATGCCACCATGCCTGGCTAATTTTTGTGTTTTTAGTAGAGACGCGGTTTCACCATATTGGTCCCGCTCATCTCCAACCCCTGACCTCAGGTGATCTACCTGCCTCAGCCTCCCAAAGCGCTGGGATTACAGGCCTCATGTGAGACACTGTGCACAGCCTATATGATTAAATTTTTAAAAACTATTTTATTGTTAATGCAAGGTTTTCTTCTTACACTGGTTTATATAAAGATGTCTCTGAGAGGGGGTATGTGTTACCTAGGCATGTTTTTCTTCCTTGGAAGATTATCTTTATTTGGTACTGGGAAAACCTACAAAAGCAGTACCCTACCATTGTAAATAAGCTCTATTCCAGTGAGAACATCAGTTATACTTGCCGTATCTATTAGATGATGATTCTATACGTGACAAGTAAAGTAGAGGTCCTTCTTCAAAGACTTTCCTCCCCATCTAATTAGGAATAAATAGTAACTTCTCTTAGAAGCAAACTTTATTCAAAGACCTGTGCTAACACTCTTAAATATCTGCCAGCCATAATAAAGAAATCAATGTATTTTATGTTCTTAGCTCACACAACTTAGCCCTGGCATGCTTATACTGGTCCAAGCAAGCATTAGGTCAAAGCCTGTTCTTCTTCCTTATTTGAAGGTCTTTTTACCTTTCTCACCATTCCACAAGTTACTTCCTCCTTCCTTTGTTCTCCTCTGCCTTTGCCTCTTTTCAAAAGTTCTAAGTTGCTAGCCAATCGGGACAAATACAGAATCTGAGGTCCCGTTCCAGCCAAAGGAAACGGGACACAGCAGTAGGGTGGCCGTGTCAGGTTATAAGTGACCCTGTCTCCTTTGTTCGGTGTACTGTCATGGCAAAACTGCTGGCAAGTGTACCCTTTCTGCAGAAAGGAAAAAAATGGCCTTGTGAGGAAATTAAATTTATGTTCAAGTGCTACTTCTTTACGGCACCAGGGAACAAGCATTTCTAACATGTACAAGGGTCAAGATTTCTTATAAATTTGCACTTAAAACAAAATAAAGTAATAGATATCTTAATAGTTAACTTACATTTTAGTCTAGTTTTAAAACCTAACAAATGTCACAGAAAAATAATTTACAATGGTTCAATTGTTGCTAGGATTCTTAAAAACCTAAAATACATCAGCAAAAACGCCCTGTGGAATATCATCTTATTTAAAGGTGTTAACTAGCCATAGTGCTAATTTCCACAGGGAAAATCTTAACTGCGGTATGATCGCTGAGATAAAGTTTTAAAAATGTGACATCTTTCTTTACATATATCATTAAAGCCTAGGCCGATATTGCAGGGTAACCATAGATAATTTCAGCTAAACATCGTCTGCATCTTTTAAAGCATCTTCCCCTCATATCCATTTAGGAAGACACTAAATAAATGAGGTTCGGAGAATGATAATACATTTTGTTAGTTTCTCAGAACGCTCTGCATTTTGAATTGTTAATAAATGGTATTGTGAAATTTTCAAATAAAATATTTAAGAACTAGAAGTCAGCAGAAAAGGGCCACTCTCTCTCCCTCCCTCATTTCTCAGGCTTCTATTTGAATGTCACATTCATTCTTTTACCCATTCTGGGTATTGTGGAAAAAAAAATCTTTCAATCCATGGCTTTTAAACCTCCTGACAATTCATCAGATTGGAGCATTTTTAAAAGGCATAAAAGCTCATACTTTCTCCAATTTCATTGAATTACAGTAAATTTGTTTAACAAACTTCTTGTGGAGGGAGGTCAGGCAGCAGTCAGTGCCATGAATTGCCTCAAATCATTGCGCCAAGAGTTAGAGACAGAGAAAAGTGCCTCAGGATGTCTTTTCACCTTGTATAGTTCTAAAAAACAAACAAACAAACAACAAAAGGACTATAGTTTAGAAGAAGGACAGCATTACAAGGCTTTAATCTCAATCCACACCAGAGGAAACAAGGTGAGCAAGGAGCACCTAAGACCCCACTAAGGAATATTAAGTGGGCAATGGGACTTCCTATTCAAGCAGAGGACTGGGCTATCTTTAAGGCAGAGTTGCAAAGGGAGAAGTGATTTTGGTTGTCAGACATTGTAGGAAAAGAAACAGAAAAAAAAAAAAGATCACAGAACCCAATTGTAGCTGTAGAATCTAAAAAGGACTTTTTAAAAAATTAAAATAGTATTGATTTAGATGTAGAAATGGGGGAAAGGAGAAAACAATAATTTTGTGACTTCAGTTCTAATTTCATCAGAGAGTAGGATTCAATATAAACATATCTATTGGAATGACACACATCCAGAATAACATTCTTGAAAGTAGATGATTTTATGGCTTATATATTGAGGACAGTGCTGGAATGAAACTCAGATATTCCTAACTGTAGACACTGTTTCATCGATACTTTGGTCCCATATCATGTTACTGAAAAGGGTCAAACTTAAGAGCAGGAAAATCGACGAAAGTAATAGTTGGTTGAGAATTCTCAAGAAGTTTTGTTGCTCAGTTAAACATGTGCTCATGGTCTTTAAACTTTCCCCATTTATTCTGCGACTAGAGGAATGAATATAGGCACTTGGGTGTTTTGCTATGCCTGCAACATATGCCATCTGCATTGACATTTCTCATGGTATTTCACTCTCATAACCCAGCCTCAGCACGGTAATAAGACCTTGATATGTAGGACCTTGATGCTAAGTCTAGGGAAAGCAGCAGATGTTAGCCTTATTAAATCAATCAAGCCCCACAATTAAAGTTCAATGCATTGCAGTCTAATTAGTACTGTGGCTAGTTAAAAATCCACAAACAGTATCATATTTCACCAAACATTTATATTGACATTTTGCATGTTATTAGGGAATTCTCAAAAAGCCGGTCCAATAAACTCATAAGATCGTAATTCATTGTGGTGGACTCTAATGTTAATTGATTAGAAAAAATAGTGTAATGGGATAAACCACTAATAACCATAAAGGTTAATGAAGCTGAGTTTTCATTTCAATTGGAGATAAAAAGTTACTAATATATTTCTCTTTTTTATGCTATTGTTATTAGATTTCACTATTGTGTAAAGTTAAATGTTTTTGAATTTTCTATTCCAATAGCAACACACTTCTATTTAGTAAAGTAACTAAATCTTTTTTAAAAGTGTATGTGAATTTTTAAATTTTTTGCTTTCTAATATCCTGAAAAACTTTTTAAATGTTTAACATTATAGAACAAGTGAAATGTATGATAAAAAAAAAAAACTGCTTGTGGCAAATTATCTCATTAAAAAAAAACAAAAGAAACAACATTATTTTCCTCTTTATATATCTGGTTTATATATTTTGATTTTTACCAATGTAATACATTTATCTAAAGTCCACCTCCGTGGTAATACCTAGTGAATCTCCATTTTTTCCAAAACAATTTCTTGTTAAGTAGAAAAGGAGAAGAAACAAGATTTAGAGTACGTGTTAAATTGACTAATCTAAAATATTTTGCTTTATTCACTTTAAAATATATTTATTTGTTAACTGAAGCTTTCATTAAATTACTTGAACCATTAAGCTGTTTTTGGCGACATTTCAGTTTAGTACTAACTGAAATAAATAAATGAGTCTATCAGGACTTGTATGTATGACAGATAAAACATAGACTAAGCATTTCCCGCCTACATCTTCACTCCCACCCACTCAACCCCTTTCAGCCATGGTCTTCTTTAACAGAGAAGACCACAGTCTGCAGGCCTTTGAGAAGAAAGAGATGAGAGTCCTGGCAAAACAGGATACATTGAGAAAATATAGGAGTGTGTAGAACTGTTAAGATTTGCTTCTGGTAAGATACTGTTAGTCTCTATATTGAAGAGATTTCAGAAAAACAGTTATTATTTTACAAAATGTTTCGCATGCAATTTGTGCTCCTTTTGTATGCAAAATTACGTTCAAAAATCCTAAAGGAGAAATGAGGTGAGATTTATTTAGGTTTTATATATTTTCCTGCTATATTTATTTTTATAATTCAGATCTTGCACTTAAAACCAATTAGTCCAACATGGACATACTGCTGTGCTCTGAACTATTTTTTTCACATTTAACAAAGCTTTATTTACTTTCTCTAGGCCACCTAGTAAATATGGGTGAAAAATGCGATGAAAAACCAGCCAGGGACCTAGGCAGGGACCACACAGTCGGGCTAGTGAAGTGGCAAACCCATGGCAAATATTCGCCTAAGGCCTGAATCCACAATGAGTAGGAAGCCACTCTGCTCTACACTGAGTATCAGTGACACCATGGCCACTATTTCTTTTCTAAGGAATGTTTTTGAAAACTAAAATTAAATGATTACCCACTTCACAAAAAAGATGAGCTCATATTTTACAGAAATAACTGAATAGAATCTCGGCTAAACCATGATCTTAATTTCATTACACTCCTACCTAATCAATGATGAAAACTGATGAACTTGCTCAGAATAATCATTCCGCTGTTCTTCATCAATTTAATCTGAACCAAAGTGCCTACTATGTATAAATGAAAATTTCAAAAATAGTTAACACGTACAAAAAGAGGAGAAAAATACATATTTAGTCTTGCACTGATTTTTTCATCTTGTATTCATTGAAATCAGTAATGAACACCGGTAGTAATTGTTAAAAATTGTTCTCATAATTTTCAAAGTAAATGAATGTCTTTTTTTCTGAAGTATTTTTAATAATTGAAGGAAAGGTAATGAGGCCAGACCTAAACAAGTGCTGCCTTTATCACTAACTAAGGGTTAAACAATTGGTATATTTGGCCAGGCGCGGTGGCTGATGCCTGTAATCTCAGCACTTTGGCAGGCCAAGGAGGTAGATCACCTCAGGTCAGGAGTTCGAGACCAGCCTGGCCAACATGATGAAACCCTGTCTCTACTAAACATGCAAAAATTTAGCCGGGCATGGTGGTGCACTCCCAGCTACTCGGGAGGCTGAAGCAGGAGAATCACTTGAACCTGGGAAGCAGAGGTTACAGTGAGCCAAAATCACGCCACTGCACTCCAGCCTGGGCAACAGAGCAAGACTCTGTCTCAATAAATAAATTAATTAAATAAAATAAAAACAATTGGTATATCTGTTTGAGTTTTCCAAGAAGAACATTATAAGTACGGGAGTAGAGGGCATATAAAAGTAATATTTACAAAAAACTAACCAGGCACCCAGATCTAAACTCTGTAATACACATAATCAAGTGCATGGAGTATCTGAACTCCAAAGCTAGTCTCGTTTCTTTTGCATTGCACTGGCTTCATAACTACAATATGCTTACATCTAATACTTAAAACAACATGCCTTCTCACACATTTTCTCTGTATGTCAGAAGTAAGATTTTTAAGAAGCAAGAATATGGCCACGACTCGTCTCCAAGAAAGTTCTTACTAATAACAAAGCTCCAACAGAACAAATGGAAATCGTTCTTAAAATGTAGAAGAACAGAATCATTATATGAAAGAATTTTCATAGATACTGTATTTGATACACTCCATATCAGCATGAAACACTTATATATATTAGTGATACTTGGTTGTTTCACTTAAGAAATTGTCATACACAGGCATACCTAATCTCTTTGGACTTTGCTCTATTGCATTTTGCAAATAACTGGGTTTTTGAAAAATTGAAGTTTCCTGGCAACCCGACATTAAACAGGTCTATTGGTGTCATTATTCCAATTGCATCTACTCGTTTTTGGTGTCTGTGCCACATTTTGGTAACTTTCATAATAACCCAGGCTTCTAGGTATATGATTGTACTTGCTATGGTGATCTGTCATCAGTAATTTTTGTTGTAACTATTGTAATTGTTTGGGGGCCCCATATGTGTCCATATAAGTGGTAAAATTAGTCAATAAATGTGTGTGTTCTGACTGCTCCACTGACTGGCCTGGTCACTCCCACATCTCTCTACCTCCTTCATTGGGCCTCGCTATTCCGTGAGACACAGCAATAATCAAATTAGGCCAATTAATAAGCCTACAGTGGCCTTTATGTGCTCAAGTGAAAGGAAGAGTCACATGTCTCTATCACTTTAAATCAAAAGCTAGAAATCATTGGCCTTAGTGAGAAAAGTATACTTAAAGATGAGACAGGCTGAAAACTAAGCCTCCTGCACTAAACAGTGAGCCAAGCTGTGAATGCAAAGGAAAAGTTCTTGAAATATAGTAAAAGTGCTATTTCAGTGAATGCAAATGATAAGAAAGGAAAACAGCCTTATTGCTGATATGGAGAAAGTTTAGAGTGTCCTGGGTAAAAGACCAAAGCAGCCGCAAAATTTTCTTAAGCCAAAGCCTAACTCTCTGAAGGTAGAGAGAAGTAAGGAAGCTGCAGAAGATAAATTTGAAGATACCAGATGTCAGTTCATAGGGTTTAAGAAAAAAAAAAAAAAGCCATCTGCGTAACATAAAAGGGCAAGGTAAAGCAGCAAGTGATGATGGAAAGCTACAGCAAGTTATCCAGAAGATCTAGCTAAGATCAGTGACGAAGGTGGCTACACTAAAAGGCAGATATTGAGTGTAAACAAAGCAGCCTTGTATTAGAAGACGATACCATCTAGGATTTTCATAGCTAGAGAAAAGAAGTCAATGACTAGCTTTAAAGCTTCAGAAGACAGGCTGACTCTCTTCTTAGGGGCTAATGCAACTCAGGATTTTAAGTTGAAGCCAGTGCTCATCTACCATTACAAAAATCCCAGGATCCTTAAGAATTCTGCTAAATCAACTATGCTCCATCAATGGAACAACAAAGCCGGGAAGATAGCACATCTCTTTATAGCATGGTTTACTGAATATTTTAAGGCCACTGTTGAGACGTACTGCTCAGAAAAAGATTCCTTTCTAAATATTGCTGCTCTTTAACAATGTACCTGGTCACACAAGAGCTCTGACAGAGATCTACTAGGAGATTAATGTTTTCATGCTTGTTAACACAACATCCATTCTGCAGCCCAAGAAACACGAAAAACTTTTGACTTTCAATTATTGTTATTTAAGAAATATGTTTCATAAGGCTATTGCTGCATGGAGAGTGAGTCCATTGATGGATCTAGCTAGACAAGGTAAAACAAAACCCTTTGGAAAGAATTCCCCATTCCAATGATATTAAGAATGTTTGTGATTCATGGGAAGAGGTCAAAATACCAGCACGAACAGGAGTTTAAAAGAAGTTGATTTCAATCCTCGTGAATGACTTTGTTGGGTTAAAGGTTTCAGTGGAGGAAGTAACTTCAGACATGTTGAAAACAGCAAGAGAAACAGAATTAGAAGTAGAACTGAATTGCTGCACTGTCATAAGATCTTAATGGACGAGGAGCTGCTTCTTATGGATGAGCAAAGAAAGTGGTTTCTTTAGATGAAATCTACTCCTGGTGAAGATGCTGTGAACATTGTTGAAATGACAACAAAAGATTGTGATTATTTCATAAACTCAGTTAATAAAGCAGCAGCAGGGTTAGAGAAGACTGACTGAATTTTGAAAGAATTTCTCCTGTAGGTATAATGCTTCTTAACCAGCAACACATGCTATATAGAAATATTTCATTAAAGGAGGAATCAACTGACGTGGTAAACTTTACTGTTGTCTTATTTTAAGAAATTGCAAGTCACCTCAATTCTCAGCAACTACCACCCTGATCACTGATCATCCATCAACATTGACGAAAGACCTTCCACCAGCAAAAAGATGATGAGTCATTGAAGGTTTAGATGATTGTACATGTTTTTAAAAACATAATACTATTGCACACTCAACAGAATGCAGTGTCATGTAAATATAACTTTAATATGCACTGGGGAACCCACAATATCATGTCACTTGCTTTCTTGCAGTCATCTGAAGCCAAACTTGCAATATCTCTGAAGTACGGCTGCATATCAATAACTACAGACATCTTATCAGACATTATAGTTTCCACATTAGTACACCAGGTACGATATTACTGATTAAGATGTAATATATTTTTCTGTCATGAGAGCCTCACATAGAATGTTACTTCAATTACTGCTTACACAGGAAATTTTATGATTTAAAGTTTATAATTAAATTCAAATATTACTCGAATTACTGCATACACAAGAAACTTTATGATTTAAAGAGTTATAAAACTTTATTAAACCTCAGTTCTAATGTTTAGTTACATACTAACTTACGGTGACCATATTAAGTTATATCACATGAATTTCAAAATAACTAACTATAAAACCCAGCATCTAACATAAAATAAAAATGCTTTCCTAATTGACTTCCAACAATATTCTGGGGATTACACAGGATCGTGTAGTAGAAATTTTGAAAGTGTGAAGCATATAAAATGTTAGATGTAAATAAATATTTTATTAATTTCTGGTAATTGTGTCAATAAAAGTTGGGCATTGACATTGCCTGTCATTTTTGGGTAACATCCAGTCACTGATGAAGCCATGTGTAAAATGCTTTACTGTTTAAAAAAAATTAAATCTACAGAGCACAAGGGAAAAAACTGCATGCTGGAGTTCCTTAAATAATTTGTGTTTTGGAAGAAAAAAGCATATAATACAACATAAAGTAATAGAGTCAAAACTGAATATGCTGAATGCAATCGGTGGTAGGCTAGTTTTGATTTGGGCTTCAAAAGAATAGTAGAGCTTAATGTCTTTGTGCAGTGGATCTGTGGTGGGGATAAGTAAATTGAGTACAGAGGATGGGGAGAAGGTTTCCTCGGCAACAATGGACAGACTCTGTTGGGGGATGATTTGAGAGGACCGATGCTACCAATGCATCTCTTTTTTTCAGGCATTTCTTGGAAATCATGCTGTAGACCCCGAATAAGGGCTAGGCTGCCCCAGCAGGTCACTGCAAGTCTCTTTGAAGTCTGCTTCTGTTAATTACTTTGAATGGCAGGAGTTGACTCTACAACAATTATAGACCCAAACATAAGTTGTTTTCCTCATCTCAGCAATCTATGTCAAGTGCCTTTGTTGTTAATGTGACACGTCAGATGAATCCAAACATTTTCTTCAGTAAAATATTTAGCTAACATATCTTTATTTTAGACAAAGTAAACCTTTTCAGAAGGCAAGTGAATCATTAAGTGTGACAACTGTATATCTATATGCTCAATACTCTATCATTCTCAAACACAGTAACATTTTATTAGTTCTTAAAAATAATATTCATAGGCAGGGAGTATGAGAGTGTGGAATGGGGTGGGGTAGAATATTACATGTATAGTGAAATGGATTTTTATTCCATCATAGTAATTATTGAGCCAACAGTCTGACAGAATAAATAAATCTCCTAAGATGCATAAATTGTTGAGAGTTTATTGAATTACAGAAAAACTGTTCTTGCCCTGTGGAGAATAAACCAATCTAACATAGTTTCTGAGTGACAGACTGTATAAGAGAACCCAACACAAAAGTAATTCATCACGAATAAACTTTTAAAATCCATGTTTTACATATGAAAAAAAATGCTCAACATCATTAATTATCAGAGAAATGCAAATTAAAACCGCAATGAGATACCACCTTACTCCTGTAAAAATGGTCCTAATTAAAAAGTCAAGAAAATATAAATGTTGGCATGGATATGGTGAAAAGGGAACACTTTTACACTACTGGTGTGTGTATAAACTACTACAACTACTATGAAAGACAGTACGGAGATTCCTTAAAGAACTAAAAGTAGAACTACCATGTGATTCAGCAATCCCAGTAGATTCATTTGGTATCTACTCAAAGGAAAAGACGTCATCATATGAAAAAGGCACATGCACAAGCATGTTTATAGCAGCACAATTCACAACTCTAATAACATGGAAGCAATGAAAGTGATCATCAGCCAATTAGCAGATAAAGAAAATGTGGTATATATACACCATGGAGTAGTAGTCAGCCACATAAAAAGGAAAAAACAGTGCCTTTTGCAGCAACTTGGATGAACCTGGAGACCATTAGTCTAAGTGCAGTCACTCAGAAATGGAAAAACAAACGTCATATGTTCTCACTTGTGAGAGCTAAGTTATGAGGATGCGAAGGCATAATAATAATATAATGGACATTGGGTATTGGGAGAAGGGTAGGAAGCGGGTGAGGGAATGAAAGACTACATATTGGGTTCACTGTAAACTTCTCGGATGACAGGTGCACCGAATCTCAGAAATCACCACTAAAGAACTTACCCATGTAACCAAAAACCACCTGTACCCCAAAAACTACTGAAATAAAAAATAAATCCATGTTTTAAACAGAAATACTGAAGATGTGTAGATTTACATATAAAATATAAAAACTTATAAATGCAGATACGCCTTACACATTTTCTTTTATAAAGTAAATAGTACTACTATACAAGTTATTTTAAGCTTGTCATTGTGTTTCAAACATGAAAGATCTCATGCTTATTATTTTTGAAAAAGTTCTACCACCAAAAAACAGAGAAGTTAATTTTGCCTACAGAAGAAATCAGACTCTGAAATATCTATTAATGATAGACATTTTAGGGTGGTGAATTTATATATACACTTAATATTTTTCAAAATTTGTATTTCAGTATGTTAGCAATGGTGGGGGGAAAACAGTATGTTATTTTGAAAATTATATTGAAAATAATGACAAAAATGTTTATAATATGTATGTTGTAAAGAAGTAAAACATAAGCACCTTTCAAAATAATTCAGTATATTCAGTAAAATTTAAATTATTTCCTCTGTGTGTGTGTGTGTGTGTGTGTGTGTGTGTGTGTGTGTATGTATGTGTACATAGGTTTCTTTGTGTGGATATAGGTATTCAAGAACAACAACAAAAAAGAACATATACACCACAACACTGCCAATCAATATGTAACCTTAACTTTCTTGTTTGGGTTTCCTAGATGTTCCCAAATTTCTATAACATACCTACATTGCTTTTTATAATACAAATTTCATACTAGCATTCATTTTTAAAGTAGCTTATTTTTCAAATTGTTTTGTTGTATACACAGTTCTCTTTTTATTAAAATATTATTAAGACTATAACAAATATCTTAAAAACCACAACTTAACCCAAGAAGTTTATTAAAAACTAATCATACGCTTCTTCCTTATGCCATCTCCCTTCTCCCCCCGAGATTATGTCTACATTTAAAATATATGTATGTATTTGTCCATATTTTACATATATGTCCAAATTGTCATTTACTTTTCTACTGTTTTTATTTTTTGGAGGCATAATAGATGTACATATTTCCATGCTACATGTGATAATTCAATACATTCATATAATCAAATTGGGGTAATTATAATATCCATCACCTTAAAATTTATCATTTATGCTAGAAAATAAAAATAACTCATATGTATACAGTTAAGAAGAAATAAAAGCACATTTCAAAATAAAATATTCAGAATATTCAGTAAAATTTAAATTGTGCTAGAGAACAATTCAAAAGTTCCTAGCAAATGTATTAATTAAACATTTAGCTGAAACCTGACTTGCTGAATTACAAATTCCCAAAATATTATTTTAACCAGATTCTCTGGAAACATCCTATGCCATTTACAACTTTTCTTCTACATTGTATAATGAATGCTGATAATAATTTTCAAGTAATTTTTGATTTCTCAAAAGTTTAAAATTGTAAATATTTCTGTCCATCAGTCTATAAAATTTGATTGATTCCTGAAACACTAAGGTCCTATTAAATGCATCCTCAAGGTATCTGAATAAAAGGAGCTTTGATTTAAATGTGCTTAGTTTTAAAGTGCTCTCTCTCCGAGCAGTGGGTTTCCTTGGATATTTTACTACCTACACATTTCTATTAATAATAAGCATATGGTAATTCATGAAGATAAGACTTAATGAAAAAAATTAAACTCTTTTTCAACTGCAAGCCCACGCAGAGTTTGACTAGAATGTAATGAGATTTTTTCCCAGATGTTATTTATTTATTTTTTAACTACAGAGCTAAATCTTGCCTAAAACAGCATGGACACACACAATTCTTTGATTCCAATTTTTCCTCTGTTCCCTCATACGCAAGGAAAAATAAAAATATAGCGCAATTCCTTAAACCAAAAGGGTCCCCAACCCTGGCTATGGGCCAGTGTCAGTCTGTGCCCTTTTAGGAATTGGGCCATACAGCAGGAGGTGAGCAGTGGGCCAGCTAGCAAATCCTCCTCTGTATTTACAGCCCCTCCCCATTGCTGGCATTACCACCTGCACTCTCCTCCTGTCAGACCAGCAGTGGCATTAGATTCTTATAGGCGCGCAAACCCTATTGTGAATTGGGCATGCAAGGGATCTAGGTTTCGAGCTCCTTGTGAGAATCTAATGCCTGATGATCTGTCACGCTGAGATGGGATCGTCACCCCCAGATGGGACCATCTAGTTGCAGGAAAACAAGGTGTGGGCTCCCACTGATTCTACATTATGGTGACTTGTATTATTTTCATCATATATTACTGTGTAATCTTAATAGAAATAAACTGCACCATAAATGTAATGCGCTTGAATCATCCTGAAACCAATCCCTCCTCTTCCAGTGGAAAAATTGTCTTCCAAGAAACTGGTGTCAGGCGCCAAAATGGTAGAGGACGGCTACCTTAACCCAAGCACCTTTTCTCAAAGTGACACTGCTAAGGCAAAGCATTACATTTATGGTACCTGAACCACACCACACCTGGCCCATTTGACTATTTCTACACAGATGCCTGGATGAGCAATTTACCTTCAGGGACTATAACCCTCAACCCAGGAGGACACCGGTGCATGAGGACTGAAAATGTGCTCAGTTCAGCTTCACAGAGAGATAGATGTAGTTTTTCCTCTAAAGGCGACATTGGTCCGGCCATTCTACTTACTGGTTAGCCTCAGTTTATCTTTAAAAACTGTTTATGATTTATAGGTCCTTTTCCCTAATGCCCTTTTAAATTTCTGTGTTCTTAATATAACATACGCTCAAAATACTAATGCATGTGTGAAGTCTGTATTTATTACTGGTTATTTAAACAGTTACTGGGATAAGAAAAATATTTTGGCAATACCTAACCATAAGGGCAATGATTGAGCTATAGTATCGTCCCACAAATTGATGTGATAATGTCATAAAATCAAATGAATACATCATTGTGATACTTTTTTTTGTCTTTTAATTTAAAAAATACTGGCACGACAACACAGTGACTTAGATATATTGTGACAGTTTCACCAGTACGTTACTAAGGGGAGGTCTAAATTATTAAGTTTTATTTTGTTACTCAGGAAAATCCTGCTTTTCAGAGAAGATAAATGCAATAAAATCTCTCTATTACCCCACATTACCTGGGATTCAACTTCGGAATTTATGTTTGTCATTAAACAAGCTGAATGCATTGTTATCTTATGATAAATAATATAAAAATGACTCAATTGAGGATGTTTCCTGGTGTTCGATTTTTATCAACTGTTTTGATTTAACCTTTGTACAATCAACATTTTAAATAATTTTAGTTCTATATTTTATAAAGTGTATGCAAAGCACTTTATCACCCTTGACAACTGCAGAACTAGAAGAGTGAAGTATTCTTGTAGTGAGTGAACTCAATTTTGTTAAAAAAAAAAAAGTCAGATAGCTAAGTTATATTAGAATGTCTTATAAGTTGTTTTTTTTTCATTAAAAAAAAAAAAACAGAATTCCAGCAATTGTTTCTGACAAAAATGATCAGTCAGTGGGTGCTGAAATTAGTGAACAGAAGTATTATTGAAAATGGAATCTGTACAGAGATTCAAAGAATCTCTCAAAAAATATGTATTATTTACAAAAAGAAAAATAGTGACTTTTCATTTGAAATAGCTGGTAAACCCCATGTAACCAAGAGATCAAAGTTACTATCACAATTAATAGGACAAGTCAACAGGGGTCCCCTGCTATAATGAACTGAAGACACAATGCCAATTCTGGACATTTCTGCCAAAAAAATATGAATCACCTGAATCTAATCACAAAGAAACAGTTAAATAAACCCAAATTTAGGGACAGCCTGTAAAATAATTGGCCCTTACTCTCCAAAAGTGTAAAGGATATGGAAGGAAAAAATTGCCGTTTCCTATTTAGGGAAACGAAAGAGACATGGCAGCTAAATGCAACCTGTGATGCTGAATTAGGTTCTGAGCCAGAAAACACAATGGTGGAATGTTAGGTAAAATTTGAATTAGGTCTGAAAATTAGGCAATGATATTAAATCAGAGTTAATATATTGACTTTAATAGTTATACTGTGGTTGTGAAAGAACATGTTCTTGTTTTTGCTCTCAACTATTTCAAGAAAAATATACAGTGAGAAAGAATAAAGCAAATGTGATAAAATATTAATATTTGGGGAATCTTAGTGAAGGCTACACAGAATTTTTTTACTGTTTATGCAACACTTTTGTAAGTCTGAAATGGTTTGAAAATAAAAAGTTAAGAAAACTGTCTCTCAGGCTGGTGTTTTTAAAAGGTGTCTCCTTCAAAGAGAGAGCAAAGTAGAGAAATCAAACCTGTCAGTTTGAGCCCCGGATAATTAACTTTTGCATAATGCCTTATTTTTTAAAGAATAATTTTTGTACCAAAATAAGATGTGTTCCTCTCTACGACTGAATATTGACAATTAACTGAGTGGGTGATTCTTCTTCATATTCAACTGATAAAATAAGCCTTTCTAGTTTTGGTTTTTTTTCCCTGAAAGTTTTGATGTTGTCAGATCACTTTAACCTTTAGATTAGGCAGAGTTTGAGTTTTAATTACCACACATATATTCAAGGAAATTTAAATTGTCTACAACTTTAAAAATACTTATCATGCAAATTCCCAGATATGCCAACATATTCACCAACAGAGACTTTTCCTTTATAACTGGTGGATTCATTTTTGGGGAATGGTGGGAAATAAAAAGATCTATGTTGAAAATGCCTCAGGACATTTGTCTCTTGACAATATTTCAAAATAATGCACTTTTCAAAACTATACTCTCAACTCTTTTCTTACAAATACCCAAATGATCTATTCTGTTTTTGCGTTTCTTCCCCCGCCAATCCAATAATTAGAGCTAGTTCTATGAGTTGGCCACAGCTCTGACAGTTGATTCTGGGTTGTGTTTTCTAATTCATCCCCACAATCAGTGTTTCTGAACGCTGTCTCTCACTTTGTTATTCTTCGACATTACAAGGATGACAAAGATATCTAATAATTATCCATCTAATGCGGTTCACCCGCAAGTCAAATGTGAAATGTCAGATGTCCAGGACATCCAGAGAGAGCTCTATAATCCCTCATTTTATAAATGTTTAAGACAATGTGAACAGGCTGACCCCAGATAATTATAAAATTAAGCCTTTGTAAGTGATACACAATTTGAACAATGATTGCCAATAATTTGACCATGAGAAAGACAAAAAAAAAAAAAAAAAAACAGAAGCTAACTATTTCTTCTGGAAAATTGTCTTTAGACGTGAAAAATTAATATAAGCTGAACAATACATTCTCCATCATGTAAATTGAAATAATCACTAGTTTAATAAGAAATTAACTTATACTTAAAATTACTATGGACATAATGATGTCCACAAAGCTTTCATAAAGGTAACAAACCTGCACAATATAAATGAACGGCTTAACTTTTTTGGGGGGGCATATTACAAATAACTTCAATAGTCTAACTGCTAATCTTTTCAATTGTTTTCTTAGTTACTCTTCAACTGTGAACTTCCCATATTTCCAAAGTTTATTGGTAATAGTGAAAGGCGTTGATTCATATAACTTTTGAGAGACAAGTTTAAAAAAATCTCTTAAAAGAACTCACAATTAATATCATCATTAGGCAAACTAATGTACTGGTTAACTCACAGTATTAACTAAGCCTGATGTATTATTTTACTTAGGTGAAATGACGACAGTCCAGATAGCTCATCGACATTTAAAGCTCATTTCCTTACCTTAGGTTACTAGGGGATAGAAAACCAAGAAATGGGCTGGAACTGGAGATATGAAAGTAGATGAGAAGCAATTTCAGACTTCACACACCAACACACACATGAGGTAGTATAAAAGGTAAATATTGATTGTAGTGAATCATTATTCCAGAAATGCTGTAGACATAAGAACGTACTGACTATTCACTCAAGACGTGGCTCCAACTAAGACTATCATGATTATTATTACTAATAACTTAAATTTATTGAAAGGTTATGTTCCAGACCGTATTTAAAGCACTTTACTTAAATTTTGCTCATAACATTCTACGATGTAGGCGCTACTTTTACCTTTCTTTCAATACTAACGTAAAGTGTAATGGTGATCTGTGGAGGACTTTATCGCTTGCACCTTGGAACTGATTCCATGCACATGATCTCACATAATCCCAATGCACCCTTTGAAATAAGATTATTACAAAGAATAAATCTCAGTGGTTTAGCAACTGTTCTAAATGACTTGATCTTCCAAGTTGTATGCATCTTGATATTGTAATTTCCATATTAGAGAACACAGTAAACTAGTCTCATCTCCTCAGTGGAAGTGTTATCTCTTCTTTACGGAATTACCTCACATTTTCGTCAAAAAAATCATTTTATCACGTATGTGCTGGCCTGTCTCTGGATTTTCTCGTCTATACCATTGAGCAATCCCGCATCACCTTGGCTACTTTAGCTCAATATTGACATCTTCAAATCGTATTATGTAAGTCCTCCCACTTTGTTCTTTTTAAATCATATTGACTATTCTAGGCCCTTGGCAATTTCATATGAATTTTACAATTAGTGTGTCAATTCCTAAAAACAAACAAACAAACAAATAAATGATACATCCTTTTGGGCTCTTGACTGGAATTGTGTTGATCCTACAGACCATCTACAGATGAATAAACTTACATCTTGAAAGCCCTGCATCTTCTCATTCATGGTCTAGTGTATCTCCCCTTTTCATTTTTCATATTTTGTTAGGTCTTTAGTAATTTCTCTCAGCTATGTTTTACAGTTTCAGCATGCAGTCTTGCATGTATCTTCTTAAATTTATTACTAAATCTGTCATATTTTAATTCTGTAAATGTTATAATTTTAAAAATTTTGTTTTGAAATTGCTCATTGCTTGTATCGATTTATATTGTGATCTCAAACCATGCAACAGTGCCACCTCACTTGTTATGTCTAGTAACTTTTGTATAGATTTAAAACAAAATTCACAGCAATCACATCATATAAATAAATACGTTGGATCTCATATTTCTAATCTCTATGTCTGTATTTTTCTTGTTCATGGCACTTGCTTGGTAACTTCATTACATGTTGAATAGTTGTAAAAGTGGATATTATTTTTGTTTCTGATTTTATGAGGAATTGATTCAGTCTTTCATCATTAAGTAAGAAATTAGTTATAAAATTTCCATGGATGCCCTTTACTGGGTTCAGGAGGTTTCTCTCAGTTCCTAGTCAGCTGAAAAGCTGCATGATAAACAGATGCTGAATTTTTATCTAATGTTCTTTCCACATTTATTGACGTGATTATGTATGCAGCTTTTAATTTCCAGTCTGTTAAGATTATGAATTACAATGATTTTCAAGAATGTTAAACCAATCTCGTATTCCTGAAAGTGACCCCAGTGGTCATGACGTGCTATCCTTTTTATAAATCACTGGATCTTATTTCACAACATTTTTAAAAGGTTTTTTCTGTTTTCGTTTCATCCAGTTTAATTTTTTAATTTTTAGGTAATATGTACTTCATATTTGGAAATTAAACAACACTCTTCTACATAACCCACGGGAAAGCTCCTTATATTTGGAAATTAAATAAACCATGGGTTATATAGAAGTGTTTTGTTTAGTTTCCAAATACGAGGAGCTTTCCCACATATTCTGTTATCAATTTACAGTTTAATTATGTTGTGATAAGATAATATAACATAGTATCAAACATTTTTAATTGACTAAGCCTTTTTTTAACGGCACAGAATATAGTTTATCTTAGTGAATGTTCCATGTGCGGTTGAAAGGACTGTGTCTTCCGCTGTTCAAGGGGAAGTGTTTCATATGGTTCAAGTAGGTCACATTTGTTAACAGGGCTAACAAAACCTCCACAGCCTTTTCAACTTATGTCTACCTGTTCTATTAGTTAAAAGTCCTGTTAAAATCTCCAATGGTAGGCTGGGGGTGGCGTCTCATGCCTGTAATCCCAGCACTTTGGGAGGCCAAGGCAGGTGGATCACCTGAAGTCAGGTGTTCGAGACCAGCCTGGCCAACATGGTAAAACCCCGTCTCTACTAAAAATATAAAAATTATCTGGGCATGGTGGCAAGTGCCTTTAATCCCAGCTACTCCGGAGGATGAGGCAGGATAACTGCTTTAACCGAGAGGCTTAGGTTGCAGTCAGCTGAGATTGCACCACTACACTGCAGCCTGGCAACAGACCAAGACTCCGTCTAAATAATAACAATAATAATAATAATAACAACAAGTGTCGCAGACATAGTATGTGCTATATATATTTGTTAAAAAATAAAAACAAAAAGTCATGTTAGTCTGCATTTGAAGAGTATAAGGGGCTTAGAATTTGGGACAGAGGCTTTAATAAATGACTGAAGAGCACTTTGGAAGCACTGATGCATACAGGAGAGGGAGGGAGAACAAGAAAAATAGGGGAAAGACGTTAGGTTTTGTGACACACTTTGAATGTGACCCTTCTTTGGCAGGGAAATTTTCTCCAGAAGTTGTTTTGAATAGTTTGTCTTCTTATATTTTCTTTATTTTATATATATTATATTTGGTTGCTGGACAAAGATCTTGACTGTGAACTTGCTCATGATAAACGATGAACGTGTTTTAACATCAATTCCACATACTTACTGCTTTCCATTATCTAAAAGTACAACTTTCCTAAAGAAATAATGGAAGGACCAATGAGTTCTATTCCACCAACTTAATAATGAATAAAACCAACAATCAATAATACAGTGACTTAATCAGCTAGAAAAGATGAGCATTTCTTCAATATGACTATTACAATCAAAAGCAGTTTTACTACCCAGTTATCATTTTGAAGAGACATTTTTATTTGCAAGGGGTATCCAATTTTCAATGTTCTCATTATTCAGAAACTAACAAAAAAGGAGATTTTTTTTTTCAGAACACTGACTGGTACAAAAAGCATTAGTAGAATAACTGAGGATGGGCTACTGGAAAATATTTATCACCAGGGTAAGAAGTTGTGTATATAACAATTAAAATGTATTAAATCTGAACTAGAATTTTCTAATTCATGAGTGTGATATTACTGTTTTTAAAAGCTATTTTTAATTAATAAATACAAATTATACCTATTTATGATGTGCGATATAATATTTTAAAATATGGATGCATTGTGGAATGGCTAAATTGAGCTAATTAACATATGCATTGCTTTACATCCTTATCATTTCTTTATAGTGACAACCCTTAAAATCTTCTGTTAGCAATTTTGAAAAAATACAATATAATGTTATCAACTACAGCTATCATGTTGTACAATGGAGCTCTTAAACTTTCTCATCCTGTCTCACTGAAATGTTGTAGCCTCTGACCAAGATCTCCCCAACACCTCAATCTCACAGTCCCTGGAAACAACCACTTTACTTCTCAGACTATTCTAACTATCACATGGATGAGGTATATAGAAGCTCTAACAATTTAAGGAAAAGGATACATTTTAAGCACCAATACTATATAAATTAAAAGGTTATTATTACACTGTCAGGAGCAAAGAGAGAAGCTAGCAACATTAAGTGTGTCTAATTTGGGGTTATTTTGGGGTTCTTTTGTGTGGGGGAAACTAATTGAAGAACATGAGGGTGGGTGGTTTGTTTGGGAGATGATTTTAGGTACAAGATTGAAGGGGCAACGAGGATGAGAGAAAGGAGGAGGAGAAGGAGGAATATTATAAGGGCACATTTCCTGATTCATGGTATGAGCAATGGGGACTTGATCCCACCAGGATCTCCAAGAAGCGCACAAGACAGCCACAAGCACTGTTGCCTCTAACACATGGAAAGCTGGGGCAATGACCTGCTTCCATCTTTCATTGATTGAGGGGATCCCTGGGGACATGGCCTCCTCATTCAGCCCCAATTCAAGATTGTGCCTCCATGGGAAGCTCCAGGTGTTGAGGCAGGACGTGAAAACACACATGGAGAGGTTCATGCCAGCAGAGCGACGTGTCTCCAGGCTTGCATGAAATTACCCACTACATTTGCCAGGGTCCACGGCATTTCCTGTGCGTATTTGCTGTCACGCTACAGACAGGACTGAGTTGCCAGAAAATAAAAAGAAAATCTTCCTTAAAGGCAATGATAATAATAATTAGACACGTTACACTGACCTGCATTTATACACCAGCTGACTTACAGAAGAAAGGTAAACCACAAGACCCTAGAGGCCACGATCCAATACTGACTGTGAAGTTTCTCATCATGCAGTGGAAGAATTATGATGATGAATTAGTAGTTTGATACTTAAACACAAATTATCAAAATAAAAGAACCTATTCTCCAGTTTGATAGTTTCCAAGTAGAAAAGCCATCTGACTCTAGCTGGTCTGCATAAAGTTTAAGAACAGGGAAAACTCTCCGGTACAGTTCCAATCGGCCTACGGGTCAATGTAAGTAGCAGAAGAGAGGTTCTTCTGGATCTCCAACGCATGAGTGGTTCAGCTGCTAATGCACAAACATAACACGCCCCTTTACTTCTGCAGACTCCGTCCACTTGCTGCCAGTTTTCTCAGCATGACAGAGCCTCAATACAAGCGTTCCGCTTGCCCATAGCAATATTGCGTGAAATATGAAACCACCATTAAGTCGTGGCTCAGCAGGAACGTGTTTGATCTTTTTCTTCATGATGGTTAAAAAGTTAATGTTTCTCCTGCCACTTTAATAATGCATTATGGAGCACAGGATAAAACTTCTTCCTCAAAATGTAATTGGGGTTTTCAATCTTTTTTATCTCTTACCTCATCGCTAACAAACAGTACATGGTATAAACATATTCTTCGGTCATAATAGGTTTAGTATATTAAAATACTGTGCTAAGTAGAATATTTTCTTTAAAAGATTAAATTTCATTTTATTTCTCTTTCAAAGAATACTTAATAAAAAATAAGGAAAACCAATATTCATAATAAGCCCTGAACAGACAAGAAGAAAAAACGATTCTTTTCATCACATAACAGTTACAGTAAAAGCATAATTCAACTGAGCCCCGTTTCTGATCTACAAAAGTCACTTTAGTGAGATTTTTAAAGCTGTTTCAACTATTTGAAAATAATACTTGAATTTTATACATTAATCTGAAAGAATATATCTACATTTATAGGCAGGAGATGTCTCAAAGTTGTTTGTTTTACAAAGACAGAAGTTTTGAAGCAAATTCCTGCCATGTGAGACAAGACCTGTATAGGTAGTTTGTGGGGACTGCACAGGCGGGCACGGGTCTGACGGTGACTGAGGCCAGAGTGGATTTCCTCCTCAGCCCTGGCCCACCTTTGTGTCTTCCATGGCACCTTCTCCTCGTTTTAAGCACCAGCCCAGTGTCCTGAACGGAGCAGGAATTCAAGAATTCAATAAGTTTGTTAATTAAATGAATGCAAAAGGCATTTGGGGCAGAATGTAACTTAAACTCTGTTCATTAGTGGGATGTAGAGTGCTGTATTTTCCTCCGCTTGTGGGATTCCAACTGCTTGAATAACAACTGGTTGACCTGAGCCCCAGAAATTAACCATGTAAATATGATGATCTATCTAAGTAAAATACATCGCCAAAGATATGAATCATCATAGAAAACAACGAGAGAAATACTACTACTCTAGGAAACAGCTGACAAAAATATTGGAAGAAAGGTTAAAATTTTTTAAAAATTAAAAAATAAACATTTGCAGATATTTAGTTCTAATTTAAAATGAGACTTCATGGGTATTAACAACATGGGGGGCATTAAAACGTAATAGATGAGTAGAAAATGAGGGTGACCTGTGCTGAGAACAAATTAGTGAGCTGGCAAAGAAGTGAAAAATAGTAACTCAAAGTTAACCCAAAAAGAAAAATTAAATACATAACTTGCACATTAAACTACATAAGCTATCCTGGAGGAAAAAAAATCTTAAATAACCAGTTTCCCAGAAAAAAAAATAGATATCGAATACATAATTATGAAAGTAATAATAAAGGAAATTTTCCCTGATTACACTTGGAACAACTTCACCATTTATGTCCAAGATGGATGAAAAGATACTGACCTAGGTAAATAATTGTAAAATTCATTAGTTGTTTGAATAAAAATAAAAATCTTTAAATTTCCGACAGAAAGAACAAATTATTTAAGTAGTGGTTCACAAAGTATGGTCGCAGAAACCTTCAATGGGACAGAGCAGAAACTGTTCATGGTGTCTCCGAGGTGAAAAGAATTTTCATAATAAGAAGATTAAGATGGTATGGGCCTTCCTCACTCTTATTCTCCTGAGCACACAGTAAATACTTCTAGAGGCTACGCGAAAGGTGTCGTGGCTATAAATTGCATGCAGAAGCCAATAGAATAATTCAACCATCTTCTGTTGAACCAAACATAAAATAGATTTAATTCTACTTAGTTTCTTCATTAAAAATATGTATGTTGATATGTAAAGGGTAATTATTTTCATAAATTAATTGATTCACATACACTTTAACTCAGTTTTACTTTCTAGTACTAACAGATACAAGCCACATAAACAAAACCTCCTTCAGGTTTGGAAAATTTTTTAACAGTATAAATTCACAGAGGCAGAAAACAGATCAGCAGTCACCAAGAGACAGGGAGAGAGGAGAATGGAAGAAATTCCTTAATGGGTAGAGCTGTTTTCCTGGGGTGATTACAGATTCTGAAATCAAAGAGATATTATTGTTGCACAGCATTGTGAATACACTAGATGTCACTGAATTGGACATTTTAAAATGGCTTATTGTATGTTATGTTTATTTCACTTCAATAAAAACAAAAGAAGTACTTGATTATTAAGCAATACTCTCATTAATCAAAGAAATAAAAGCAGAAAGTTATTTTGAATGCAGTGAAAATAAGAGCAAAAAACAAATCATCTCTAACCCAAGGCAACTCAGCGAAAGCTGTATTGAGTGCAATTTATGTCTTCATTAATGAAAAAGAAAGGAATACAAAACAACCTTCCAGAATACACTATTTAAAAATTAGAAAAATAACATTATTTAAAAAAATACATGAGAAGGTTTACTAAAGACAAAATTATAATCAATGAAAAGAACAGAAAAGAAACAGTATTTGTAAAGGAGAAGAAAATCAAAAGCTTTCTCTGAAAAGATCAATGATCATAAACCCTAAAAAATACCATTTATAAAAAAAAATCAAACTGGATTAGAGATTTTACTTTGTGTAGAAGCACTATAAACATTATAGGATTAAAATCAAGAAAATATATAACTGATATAGGAGTTAAGGAGAAGTTTTTACCCTGGATTAAGAGAATTCAACTCAGAAATTCTCTCATAAAATAAAAGATTATTTAGCATATATTTTACATAGTATGTATAAACATTACATGCCATATAATGCAAGTTAGGTGTTTATATATACTTAGATATTCATGTGTAATGAGTATATAGAATGTTTCTACTCAAAAATTATTTTGCACAGAGAAGAGACCATAAACACACACAGAGAGAGGTGTATGGGCTGAGTTTGGGGGTTTCACTGGGAAAAGATAATGACATTGCCCTGAGTGGAGTTTTACAGCTTCAGGACTTCCCTGGGATAGATAATTGGAGCTATTAAAGTGGGTCACTGCGCCCAAGCATACGCATTTCAAGGTTTCTATGTTAGGTGCCTCACCTAAGAACGCTGGGACTGGGAGCCTGGGGAAGTGATGGCGGGGAGGGGTGAGGGGTGGATAGGCACGGGGACTCAGGAGAAGCTTCCCCCACAGAGCCCCTGAGCTGCTCCACGTGACAGCTGAGCTTATCCACAAGCCCCGCAACACCTCAGAGCTATACAGCCATGAGAGGTCTCATTTTCCCTGCAGTTCCTAGAGAGCCTAATGTTCTGGGTGGTCTCCTGTGTGAGGTGCTGTGCAGGCCCCAGGACTGTGCTCTGGGCCACTGTCTGGAACGGCCCTGGCAAGGGTGGCTCTGGGTCTCGCCTTAGGCTGGGAGCGCACAGGAGCCCTTCCTTCCTCTGGTGGTGATGCCTCCAGGTCTCAGCGCCACCTGCTCATGGTGAGCGGGGCACATGCTTGGGAGCTCCTGTCCCCGGGACCCCGCCTCTAGGAAGCTCGTGCAGGGGCCTAGGAACGTGGCCAGTGGGAGAGATCCCAGTTTCCCGAGGGGAATCACATATGGGTCTGTAGAAACTTCAGCCCTTGCATCCTCAGAAGAAGGAATTTGACTGAGGGGCATAAAGGAGAAAAAGAGACCCAGGCAAGTCCAGAGCAGGAGTGGAAGTTTATTTTAAAAGACCTTAGAACAGGAAAGGAAGGTGCGCTTGGGAGAGACCAGGGCATGCACGCGAAGGCTGAAGAGAGAAGGTCAAGAGCCATTTAACTGGGATCCTAGGACTTTTTTTTCTTTTTTGAGACGGAGTCTCGCTCTGCTGCCCAGGCTGGAGTGCAGTGGCGGTGGTGATCTCAGCTCACTGCAACCTCCTCCTCCCGGGTTCAGGCGATTCTGCTGCCTCAGCTTCCTGAGTAGCTGGGATTACAGGCACCCACCACCACTCCCAGATAATTTTTTTGTATTTTTAGTAGAGACGGGGTTTCACCGTGTTGCTCAGGCTGGAACGCCTGACCTCGTGATCCGCCCACCTTGGCCTCCCAAAGTTTTGGGATTACAGGCGTGAGCCACCGCACCTGGCCGGATCCCAGGACTTGTATAGACTCCCCTCTTTCCCATGATTCTTCCCTTAGGGCAGGCTGCCCGCATGCGCAGAGCCCTCCTTGCCCCTCAGAACTGAGCATGCGTAATGTGGCAGGGAGTTACATGCACGCAGAGCCTCCTTGCCCCTCGGAAGCGAGCATGCGCAGTGTGGCAGGGAGTTACATGCATGTGCATTGGAGTCTTTCTTCCTTATTCTGGTGGAGGGTACGTGGAAACTCATGCTCCTCCATCTTTGTCCTTTAACACTTATGCACAGAAAGTTGTTTCTCCCTGGGGTCTGCATTCAGTTAACATTTTGATGTTAATAAGTGTGGACCATCAGGAAATGGCCTCTCCTTTGCACTGCTAATTTATCATTTTCAAAGAGGCAATGCGATAATTATGAACCATCACCTGACATTTCTAGTGGGTGCGGGAAAGCCGTCTCCTGCCCCCCTCATACCTAACTACCGGTAACGGGAAGACAGAAGCACTGACTGTCCTCCTGTCCTCCACCACCCGTGACCACGTGCAGAGCACCTTGAATGCGCCTCTCTCTCCTGTGAGAGGCCCCCACAGATCCCACCGGCAATGCCAACCAACATGCAAAAGAGGCATGCAGTGTCAACACCAAACACACATCCAGTGTGTTCTTGGTGAAACTCCATGTTACGCCACAGAAACAAAAACCATACATCCCTCATCTTACTGGTTCAGAGATTTTCCAAAAATGACTCTAAGCTTCCATTTAAGACACAGGTCAACAAATAAACCAGAATGAAAAAATGTAGAAATAAAGTAGAATTTTGTACTGATATGTCATTCTCTCTACTCATGTTTGAAGCTGTCAGCCAACCTCTAATAAGTCAGTAGAGGATTTGGCGTCTGAAAAAATGTTTACATATTCCATAGGAGATTGGTGCTACCTGCCCTGCTCCATTTTGTAGTATTGAATATCTCATCAATAAATACCTCACTACTTCCTCTTTCACCGATTCTAAAAGAGTGTCTCAGAGGATGAGGAAAGAGGATGAATACGTGGACACAAAGATTCTTCGAGAACTGCCTCAAGTAAGAAAAAAACAGGGTCAAATACATAGAAACCCAGTGAATTAATATCCCTTAGAAATCAATCATATCTCTGGTTGATTAACTGAGGGGTTCACTTTGCCCCCTGCCACACTGAGATCTCTGTTCCCCCAGGCTGGGTGCAATGGCACGATCTCGGCTCACTTCAACCTTTGCCTCCCGGGTTAAAGCAGCTGGGATTACAGGCGCCCAACACCACGCCCAACTAATTGTTTGTATTTTTAGTAGAGTCAGGGTTTCACCATATTGGCCAGGATGGTCTCGAACTCCTGACCTCAGGTGATCTACCTGCCTCAGCTTCCCAAAGTGGTGAGATTATTTGGCATTAGCCACCGTGCTCGGCCAGGTTTCCTTTCTAACCCTTTTAAGTTCTGACCAGATCCTGGACCAAAATCTAATAATCTTAGATGCAAAAAGGTTGTACAATTTTGGGGTATTAACCATAACTAAATGTAGATAGCATATAATGTGCCAGGTGGTGTTGTTAACTTTTTCACAAATTAATACATTTGACTTTTAAAACAATGAAACCATCACATCAAAACTGTTATTATCCCCATCTCAAGATGGGGAAACTGAATCAGCAAGATGTTAGTCAGTTGCCTTATAGAACAATTAGAAGTGAGAGAGCTAGAATTTGAAGCCCAGAAGTCTAACTGGAGGCATGTATGTTTAGCCACTATGCTGTTGCCTTGTGATAGCTTGAGTTTCATAATCATCCACGTACATTCCTAAAGAGATTGTAGGAAAAATAAAGAGGACAGGTGGAAACTCAGTAAAAATAATGGCTACTTTTTATCAAATACTTAATATGTATCAAATACTGTGCCCCATGTTTTGCATACATAATCATTAAATTCTGATAACAAGACTAAAATGTTGTTATTTTCATTTTTGGATAAGACGACTGAAAATTATGAGTTACTACCCGATGTGGCAGAACCTATATTTGAAACCCTACTCTAAGGAAGTTCAGTTGGGCTGAACGTTCTTTAGCCCAACTCCAAAGCTTAGTTTTAGCCTCTGGAAGAATCGATTTAGGAGCTTGAAGGACACCCAGCCGTTACGGAAGGAAGAGAGAATGTTGGTGGCTCTTCCTGACTAGGAACTCCTTGGAATGCTGCAAATGTACAGGTGATTATCTCTGCATTGTTGCAAACACTAAAGGCTATTTTCATATCTAAAAAGAATATTACTTTTTCTATACGGAAAGGTTGGACCTGTTTTTCTTGTGGGCCCTAAAAAATGAAACCCACATGGAAGTAGAGAGTGACAGGCCTATCTCAGAAGGAAGAAATAACGTAGGAGACAAAAACGCCGGGGGAGGCTCTGTATATGTCTTTGGAAACTATTTCCTCACGTTCCTGCTCCTAATGCCCTGCCTCTTTCTCCCCCTACTTCACACCCAGCTCTGCTAGATCCCTGATGTAACTGCAGAACTAAAACATTTCTCAAAATGAGAAGACAGAAATATAGGAGCAAAGACAGTCTTTGTGTGTAGGTTTCACTATCGCAGTGGGGATACATGTACTTTTGTGCCCTCAGAAATATTTTTTTAGTTGTTTCTTTCATTCAACAAATATTTATGAGTGTGTTCTACGTGCTAGGCACCAAGGCAGGTGTTAAGCATAAAAATATATGTCAGTCTGGGAGCAGTGGCTCCCACCTGTAAACCCAGCACTTTGGGAGGCCAAAGCAGGAGAAGCCCCTGAGCCTAGGAGTATTGGACCATGTGGGCAACATGGCCGCACTCTTCTCTATAAAAAATAAAATTTTAAAAAAACTAGCTGGGCATGGCGGGGCATACTTGTAGTCCCAGCTACTCAGAAGGCTGAGGTGGACAGATGGCTTGATCTCAGGAGTTCGGGGTTGCAGTGAACTATAGTCATGCCACTGCACTCCAGCCTGGGCTATTAACAGAGCAAGACCATGTCGGAAAAAAAAGAAGAGAAGAGGAAAAGAGAAAAGAAAAAGGAAAAGAAATGTAGAAAAGAAAAAAGAAAAGTATGAATATCTATTTTCCATGCCAAGAAGAATAATGTTGTTAGTTTCATAAAGCTCAGAGGAAATGAAGGGATAATCACAAATTATGTAGCCCATAAGAGGCACATTTGGAGCCGATGTGGGGCTATCGCTGTATAATAATCTCCTTTGTTTGGCTGGTGATCTACTTCTCAGGGCAGCAAATCCTGCAGGGTATAAAATATTTGAAAATATTTTTACTTTCTTTTTGCTTGCTTAACGTTCTAGATTAAACCAGAGAAGACAACTAATAGAATATCATTCTCTTAGTTGTGCCTGTATACTGTTCATGTGCTATCTTAACTTTTATTACTATAATGCTACTTGAAGAAAAAGTCAACATGTTAATGAAGCTGCCAAAGTCTTAATGAGCATTCTGTCCTTCTGGCAAGCAAATGAAATTATTATTTTGGAGAAAACAAATATCTTAACCCAGAAATCCATAACCAAACATGAAGATAGACTACGTCTTCCATCGTTTTGTAATATTACAATGTGGTTTTTTGTGGGGATGTGGAAAAAAAGTTTCATTTTTTTAAACTCTCTCTTTTTTTTTTTTTTTTCCAACTTGCTCTTTGAACATTAACTTTTAAGCTGTTTCACTCTCTAGGAAACCAAAAAGGAGGCAGAAAAAATGGTGAGTTCATGGAAGCATGTGCACGTTTTTGAAATATTTGTTTTATTTTTAAAAATGAATTATAATTGAAATTGTTCCTGCTTATCACTAACATTTTAGAAATGCATTCTTCTGGGTTTAGTTCTATTATTCATTTACTGAGGTATCAATTTACTCATTTATCTGCTTGTTCTTTATCCATTCACATACCCGCATTTGAATAATTTAAATGAGGTCCACCACATATTGTAAAATACAAATTAGCCTATAAAAACAAAATGTCAAAGAGGGAAATGGATCAGGACATAACTGAGGGTCAAACATGAGGCTTTTGTGGTTTAAATACTATGGGTGAGGTCACACAAAGCACCCTTCTGTCCAGTTCAAAGAGGAACGACATTATGGCTTTATCTATGATACACATCAGGAGGATCTGCAGAGGAAATTGTGTAGTAGGTGAAGTGTAAGTAGATGATAATGGAAAAAGAGAACAGATATTCAGTGAACGTGACAATTCTAATATACAATCATTTGTGCAACTCACATTTTTTGAGCCCTGACCTTGGCTTAGGATCTGTGAGCTCCCGGTCTGGGCCTTCTCCCATGCGTCTCCCTCCTCCCTACTCTGCGGCGGCTTCTCCATGCTCCTCCATACTTCCTACTCCCCAGCACCATGTTTCTCAAGCTCAGCTCTTAACAACGCCTCTGTCACATGCTTTCACTTTTATATCGCACACCAGTCTTTACATATTTAAAAGCATAATTTGAGTATAAGAAGTTACAGGGCATCTTTTTAAAAACTGACTTAAAAAATTCTTATAGTTTCTAGACAGAGCAGGGTGGGACACGTGTGTAATCCCAGCACTTTAGGATGCCAAGGCAGGAGGACTTGAGGCCAGAAATGTGGGATCAGCCTGGGCAACATGGCAAAAAACCCTGTCTCTACTAAAAATACAAAAATTAGCTGGGTGTGATGGCGCCAGCCTGTAGTACCAGCTACTCAAGAGGCTGAAGTGGGAAGATCACTTGAACCTGGGAGGTGGAGGTTGCAGTGAGCCAAGATCACGCCATTGCACTCCAGACTGGATGACTGAGCGAGACTCCGTCAAGAAAGAAATAATCAAAGAACAAACCAACGAACGAAAGAAAGAAAAGAGAGACAAAGAGTTCCCATAGTTTTTGTCTCTTTTAATCTAAAAATAATTTGACCAAATGCTCCAAATCACAGCATCTCACTTGTAATTTATGTTTTTGCCATGCTTTCTCTTATTTGACTTATGTCCTAGTACAGCAGGTAAGTTTCTTTATATGATATACCTGAACACAGAATGTTTTGAAACTGCAGCGGGAACACACTCAAACTTAGGTATGTCTTCAGTTTTGTGATTGGAATAGCTGCAGGTACTCTGACCTGTTAGCACCTTCTGGCATTATACACCAAGTGATGTAGAGAAAAACTTTCTATATTGTGAGGTATATAACGTGTGATCTGCCTTCATTCCTTTTATTATTTAGATGTATGGGTATTCCCTGAAGCCCTGTACTAGCCATTTGATCATGTGGTACTTGAACATTTACGAAATAACAAAGAGTGTGTTAATCACAGTATGTGCGTGAAGCTATTTCAAGCCTTTGCAAGGAGCCTTCTGGGCATCTCAGGGAATGTGTTTCAGGATGATCATCTTATTAGACAACAGTGCTGGAGCTAAGTGGAAACACAGGTTGTTCAAAATGATAATGATAGAAACTTACAGACATTTTTTACAGCGTATCTTCTTGTATGTTGCCTTTACTTGTGAATTTTTCTTTCAATCATGGAATCTATTTCTAAGAAAATTTTATTTCCTCTCCTCACATTCTGGAAACAGCAAATCCTAAGTGCCATCTAATAAGGAATTTAGCAAATGTTACTCTGCAAACCTTTAAAGTACATTAAACTTTCCAAATGTAATTGACACCCTTTCCTCATCACGCTACTACTTAAAAGCATGGCGTGAATGTCTTCTATGCACCAGACAGAAGACTAGATAGTCCCTCAATGCTAGTGAGAAATACAATTTTCAACACAGGGGCGAATATTATTTATGCCTTTAAAGACTGATTCTTATAAATATTGAGAAAATTTAAAAATTAGCATTTAAGTGTGCCAATTAGGAAAGCATTTTTAGTCTTGAGGATTTAATTACTGATAAAGCAAAAAAGTTATTTTAAATATTGTATATAACATTAATGGAAATATTAATATGCACTGATTAATTGATTATAAATCAAGAAGTTATGATAAAACTTTTTATAAAGATAAATTTAATAAGATATATTTCTTTTTAAGGATAAATTTAATTCATTTTTATAATTAATTGATTTAAAATCAAGAAGTGATAAAAACATATGTAGAAACTGGAAAATTACAATTTATTATTTTTACTGAATTAAAATTACCTTGCAATCGTAACATTGTCATAAAATGACACACTTTTATACCTAATGTTTATACAAAGCTCATATCACAAAAGTCCTCTAGACTTAGATTATTCCTCTGGAATAAATGGATAATACTATCCTCTTAATATTGTATGATTTAAATTCTTTTAAAAATATATTAAATTATCTGAAAATTATAAATTGTACAATTCCCATTTTAAAAAAGAGGAAAAGATAATTCAGAAATCAAACAAAATTGAACATGAACAAACTCAAAGGCTACAAAGTCTCCAAGAAGCTAATAATTAAAAATTGCATCTCTTCTTGCCCATAATAGTCTCTGTATTTCACTAAGTTATCATTTTCTCTGCCTATAAGCATGAAAGTCATTGTCTCAATTAAGGAGATTTTCTTTACCAAGTAAGCTATTGAAGAAAAAAGGATTCTGAGTTATAAGCATAAAAGTTATATAAGCATAAAAGTTATATGAGCATAAAAGTCATCCTTTCAATTAAGGAAACATTTTTAACCGGGTAAGCCACTGAAGAACAAGGATTCTGATTATCTAGACTCCACTGTACACAGTTTCAGTTTATTTTCCCCAAGTGCCAAATATTCCCACAGGTGATCTTTGACACAGATTTAAATTAAAAATGACATTTTAAAAGTCTAGCCCCATATGCGTTCATTATTAAGATTTTGTTCTTGCTTTGTGAAGACAATAGGAAATCTATCCTAGGCAGAAATTTCCACTAAAGGTATCTATAAAAACGCTTTGAGATCATAATTTACTCAGGCACCATTTGTAACACAAAATCTGTTTTATGTAACATTCTTGATAATAAACAAATAATAAATAAAGTGAAAGCAAACTTCAAAAAAGAAAAAGATTGCTGCGATACTCATGGGAGCATTTCCTGCGTATGTAGTAAAGCCCGGTCTTTCATGATGAAGGCATCAGCTTTGATAATGGTGCACTGGGTTTTTAATATTTCCCG
This sequence comes from Homo sapiens, assembly GCF_000001405.40. Taxonomy (NCBI): domain Eukaryota; kingdom Metazoa; phylum Chordata; class Mammalia; order Primates; family Hominidae; genus Homo; species Homo sapiens. Next base: position 3,961,809 of record NC_000008.11, read on the forward strand.
CTAGAAATGCTATTAAATAAATAAGGCAGCATCATGAGGAAGAGATGTCCCTTTAGTCCTAAAACAGCGCATCCTGCCTTACGACTTCTTGAGTCATTGCTCAAAAACGAATGGGCTTGGGCGCTTTCTTCCTCAAATACCACATATTGAAAGGAAAAGCAATGCAGCAAAACATCACAAAGTTGCACAAAGACATGCGTGCTTGTGTCATCTTATTTCCTCAGAGTTCCTGGACATGTGAGAAGGTGCACGGACCATCATTCTCAGAGATAACTTGAGCTTGGACTCAGACCCAGCCAGGACCTTCCTCCTCTTTCTGTGTCCAGCCCACACCTGAGCACCTACTTCATAGACCTGCTCTGCTGAGGTGGTTTGAATATACCACATTCCAGAATGGGATTGTTTTGCACCTGTCAAGATTTTCTTCTGTTCACTCCAGATTTGGTCATGATGAGGTTCTTCTGTCCTGGAACTGCCCTACACATTCAACTTGGGATTTGGTTCCAGCAGTGACAGATTATGCAGGATTAAGATCCCAAGTACAGTGCACTAGAGCAGAGTCAGGCAGCACGGGCGTTGTCACCACGCAGTCCTGAATTCAAGGTCTACCACCCTCACCTCTCAGCTGGGTGATGTGAGAGGGAGCATGGATCTCCTTGGATGTCACCCCCTGTTTATGACAGCCAGCATGCAGGAACCCCTATATTAACGTAATAGGCTAATCGCAGGTAAGCAAAGTGTAGGGGTCATGATTTCACACGAGGAGTAAGCAATGAAATCCATGCTATGAAGAGGAAAGGAGAGGATCATTGGCTGAAAAGGAGAGCATGGACATTCAATTGCAGTTAGATATGGAAATCAGAGCAGCTGGGTGGGGAGTGTGGTGCAGAGGTGCGGCCCTTTCTTGCAGACTCTTCGGGTTGGACTCAAGGCTGGACACTCTCAGAGGCTGGCATCTATGTTTCCACAATATTCATATTTTTAAAAACATTGAGGGCAATAAGTTTCTTTTCACATTTTACATGTTGTGATAAAACAGACATGATTTCTATTATTCAAGCTGTAAAACAACTGAAGCCTGTTTTTATCATTATGTCTATTTTTTCCACAAAACTTTTCACTCAGTTTTTGTTTCGTTTTGTTTTTTAGATGGACTCTTGCTCCGTCACCCAGGCTGGAGTGCGGTGGAGCAATCTCGGCTCACTGCAACCTCTGCCTCCGAGGTTCAAGCAATTCTCCTGCCTCAGGAGTAGCTGAGATTACAGGTATGCACAACCACGTCTGGCTAATTTTTGTGTTTTTTAGTAGAGACGGGGTTTTACCATGTTGGCTAGGCTTGACTCAAACTCCTGACCTCCAGTAACCCTCCATTCTCGGCCTCCCAAAGTGCTGGGATCACAGGCTTGAGCCACCGCACCCGGCCTCAGTGTTTTGAATATTGTAATTGTAATAATTACGAGTTTGAGGAATGCATGAAAAACAAAGGTTCCAAATCCATGGCTCTCACCCAGATAAGCCAATTAAATATGTTGGAAAGAACGTGTGGTGTTTACTTAGCAAGATTTTCAGTAATATATGACATCCTATACTCCATGGTTCCTAAGTAGCTTGAAAATATCTCGCTGGTCTCTTTGTCCAACTTAAGGTGAATGAATGCCTCATAACTGAACATTATGCAATAGAAGTACCTGGGGTGTACATTTTAAAATTCAGAAAATTTTCTATTATAAACATAAAATTCGTATTTCAATTTAAAAATATTAAAATCTACTAAGTAAACAAAAAATAAAGTTTAAATTTAGTAGCACATATGGTATATTGTTTCATTTTTAAATACTAAAGCTATGTGCGTATGATTTTGTATGTGTGTAAGTGAATATACATAGATTTCATCGTAGACAAACTGCAATAATTTTGATAGCAAAACAAAAGCTATATGAATATCACAATAGTATAGTATATGTATAGCAACCTAAGTCAGACAGAAACTTAATATTTTGAAATAAAATCAACATCAAATGTAAATATAATCTTAAAACCGCAGTTTAAGAAATGAAGGTATAGATGTTAACTGACACTCGGAAGAATTTCTAACTCATTGTATCCCAAATTTCCTCCCTTTCAGAAGAAAAAGAAGAAAAAGTTCGTTGGATTTAAAGGTATTAAGTCAAACAGAATGAGTTGAAGCATCCCCAGAATGCACAAAGAAACTTCATGCTTTGCATAAATTACTTTCATTGATAGCACAGCATGAGGTGCTTGCTTGAATAACTTTTTTGTCAACAGTAAAAAGAACCTGCTTTCAGAAAAAAAAGTTTTGCGTAAAATTCACCCAAGAGGGTGAAGACCAATTTTCATCTTAACAAGTAAACATTAAAGGCATTTATTTTTTTAAAGACTGTATAAATGAGAGTGATTTACTAAATTATACTTTTTGTGGCTATCCCTCCTTTGGGGCTTAGAGCTCACAGGCTGCTTTAGGGAGCGTTCCACAGTCACGCGGCCATAAGTCTCATTGTGTCACCGTGACTTATTTGAGCACTGGTACAACTTAATTCACATTTGTTTGTATCAATTCCAACGTATAATTTAGCATAGCTCCTGTTTTTTGACTGAGGCCTTAATCAGCCAGTGGAAGGAGACACAGGTGCTGGTATGCCTCATTTTGCCGCATTTGTATTCTCTTTCTAGCCTGCCATACTCCAAGCTCTCATAGGAAGAAATGAGCACCACCAGGAAATAAATACACTGGAGAAGTCTTGCAGGTTAATTCTCTGATCCACTTAAATCCCAATTGTAATGTTTTAGCTAGTTGCAAAGAAATATTTAAATTTGCTATTCAAGTTGAGGTGTCTCTATATTTTTACTTTTAAATGGACCATAGTTATTAAATAAACGCTTCAAAATCCATTGCAATGTACTTGCGTGACACATACATTGTCCTGTATCCTTCATAAAGGACTAATGTATCCAACAATTATTTGCTGACAATCTGTTAAGCTCACAAATGAAATAATACACGGTTATTCACTTAGTGGGGTTTCCACTTTTGAAAAAGTGTGATTGCATATTATGCCTACTTTTAAAAAGTTCAATACAATTAAGTTCTTAAATATTTGTCTTCATTTTGGGGGTTTATCCTCGTCATGTAATTCTTGGAGAGTCACAGCAAACTCTCTAGGCCACGGTTTTTTCTGTGTATAAAGTAGGTGATAGTTTCTACACAATGTGCTTGTAAATATTGAGATAAAATCCATAAAGCACTCGCCGCAGTAGCTGACTTAGTAAATGGATAACTTCAGGCTATTATTATTGTAATTGTGTTATTAATATTTTAATAGTTTCTTGCTTTTTAACAGTAAGAGTTCATAACAAAAGACCAGGAGACAAGGGCGGAAGGAGGGGCTGAACTTGAACAGAGACGGCAAATGCTTTCCACTCAGCCTTTGGTCTCCTCCCTTAAACAGGGAACTCAGGTCTCTAAGCATGGGTTTCTGAAATGCTACCATGAAGATAATGTTCTTTGATGCTTAAATAAGACAATGTTTTGAAGAGTTTGTGTGAACAAGCGTTCTACAAATACATTGCCTTAGAGACATGGTTTTCGTGATGGCCTTCGGAAAAAGGGTAGAATGTTTATGCGTAGAATTCTCTGTTTGAGTAGACGATATCACAAAACCAAAGTAAAGTTGAAAAACTATGGTTCGGCTGAAACAATAGAGCCTGAACAACTAGGTCAGGAAAGAGAGGTCTTTCAATTCCAGGCCTTAGTGTTAATGGTTATGATTTTTTAAAATTTCTTTTTATTTATTTATTTATTTATTTTTGAAATGGAGTCTCACCCTGTCGCCCAGGCTGGAGTGCAATGGTGCCATCTCAGCTCACTACAACCTCTGCCTCCCACTTTCCGGAGATTCTCCTGCCTCAGCCTCCCGAGTAGCTGGGACTACAGGCATGTGACACCACACCTGGCTAATATTTTGTACCTTTAGTAGAGATGGGGTTTCACCATGTTGGCCAGGCCGGTCTTGAACTCTTGACCTCATACTGTGCCAGCCTTGGCCTTTTGAAGTGCTAGGACTACAGGTATGAGCCACCATGCCCGGCCAATGGTTATGATTTTATAAGAAATAAGAACTGTCAAGGTCTTTTGAGAAAGCATAATTTAGCGAGAATAAAATGTTAATATGAAGCATAGATTCAATTTTAGAAAGAAGCAGAAGACACTGGTGAGAGAATGAATGACTCTAGAATAAAATAACGAATGTCCAGGAGTAGGGACTACGAATGTACTTCATAATTTAGGGAATAGGCTCCCATCCATGCTACTTATAATATCTCAGTTAATAGGACGGCAAAGGAGAAAATGTCTAAGGTACCACGGTATAAAATATGCCAGATTGCCAGCTTATTGGCTAAATGATTTCCGCCCATATTTAATCAATATTGCAAAGATACTTAAACTGAATGCAGAGGGGCTTGGACAGTAACTGATGGAGAAGAGGGAAAGAAATAGCATCTTGCTCAGTCATCATTCACTCTCCCAAATTTATAAACATCCAAGTCTTGCGTCTTGAAAACAATTCTGATAAATATATAATACATATATATCAGGTATTATATATAATTACCTACATATATTTTTTATAGATATATGTTTCCATTTCTGTTATTTATTTATTGGGAGAAACAGGAGAATCAGTTCCTGGGAGAAAATTGTATTCTTTTGTTTCAGGTTTATTTTCTTGCCAATTTCTTTTCTGTAAACATTGGTTTGCAGTTTTTGGCATGCACTACTCATATTCATTATTTTTTCAATTAGCCTGCAAGGTCTTTGAGGGCAAAGACCATGTGCTGTGTTTCATGCTATCTGCCACCACAGCGTATGCCATGCCTGGCAGGCTGCAGGCATTCACACACACAGACACACACACACACACACACACGCGCGCGCGCGCACACACACTGATTTATAGGTCTTAGATTAAATCCCAAGAAATAATGTATTTTCTATTTTAATCAATTCTGTACAGACACTAAGCTCTATTATGCTGCATACAACACACTGGATGTATCAGATTTTCAGTATGACTTGAATGCCGATGAATTAAAAGGCTGGTCTTTATGATCAAGAGATAATTCAAATTCTCCATTCTGTTTTCAGGAGTGGAGGGTACATCTTCCACTGTAGAGTGTCAATTGGTGAAATAATCTCCAAGGCCGTTTTAGTTGAGGTAATCCAGATATTGAAATCAGACATGAGCAAGCTATTCTAACAAGGAAAGAAAGCCATGATTTTCATAGAGAAACGGACTAATTTTGTCTATTTGCATCTTTCTGCTACTTAAAATGTTTATGTATTCCTTTTCACTTTCTAACTTGATTCTCTCTACTGCTTTGCTCTTCCCCACTTCAGCTATTTTCCTATTCTGATCTAATTCTTCTGCTTTTTTAATTCTCTCTCTATACTGTTCTTGTTCCCTTTGTTCCTTCCCTTACACCTGAATGGAAATGATGGTACGGCTTCTCCATTCCGACCCTGAACTTGTAAACATGGAACTGCAGGCTCATTATTCTCTAGGGAGGTTGTCATTCAACCTGTATCACCTGATGCTTTCAAAGTCCTCATTCAGGATCTTTGCTAAAAGGAAAAAAAAAAAAACAGATGGAAAGTTGTTGAAATACATGTGTTGCGGACTTGGATGGAGAATTAAAGAGAACTGAAATAAATGAAGCATGAGTGAGTTCAGCAAATATCACCAGCTTGACCTCTGTGTAGAGTCAGACGGTTCACAACTGATTTATTTTTACGTGCATTACTCACATTTCCCCTCCATTCCCTGCCTACAATTGTCCTTGTCAATACGTGCTGGGGTGAGCTTCAAAGGGAAAATAAGGGAAGTGGGCAAGAGATGAGTCCAACAAAGGCCAAGAAGAAAGAACCTAATTTAATATTACGTGTGAACTAACTACCTTAATCTACATATCCAATTTGCTTGAGAATATACGCTTATAGATAAGGAAAGTAACTTATGATGACAGCATTTCCCTTGCTCGCTTAAGAATGTGCCACAATTGGCCGGGCGCAGTGGCTCACACGTGTAATCCCAGCACTTTGGGAGGCCGAGGTGTGCGGATCACGAGGTCAGGAGATCGAGACCATCCTGGCCAACACGGTGAAACCCCGTCACTGCTTAAAAAAAAAAAAAAAAAAAAAAATTACAAAAAATTAGCCGGGAGTGGTGGCGGGCGCCTGTAGTCCCAGCTCCTCGGCAGGCTGAGGCAGGAGAATGGCGTGAACCCGGGAGGCAGAGCTTGCAGTGAGCCGAGATCGACCCACTGCACTCCAGCCTGGGTGACAGAGCGAGACTCCGTCTCAAATAATAATAATAATAATAATAAATAATAAAAAACAATGTGCCATAATCATATTTCTCAATGTACTTTGTTTTCCAGGTATAGGTAGTATGAGTATTGCCTGGACAATACTCATAGGCAGCATGAGTATTGCCTGGACAGAGGGCTATAATCTCCCTGATCCTACAAGAATCCAACCTGGGCACCAGCTCAGTGTGGTCACTGAGCACGGCTCTTCTTCCTTCATGGGTTCACATGGACACACACTCAGCAACCCACACAATGCTTTTCTCTTTAAGAATCTTTTTAGTTAAGTACATCTTCCGGATTCAAAATACTTAATAAAGCAACATACTGCAAATGCCATTTTTTTTCAGATTTTCAGAAGGTTTGAACAATAACCAAGAGAACAGGTGTATTTCAGATGGAATATTCGCTAAGGAAGATGTCTTTCTCTACATAGAACACAGTCTGAGGCTCTACTGTCCTAAATCCCGAAAGCTGATAGTGTTAGTCATTAAGCTTGCTCTTACTACAGGGTCTGTGTATTATCTAATGTGTAAATAGCATTTAAGCAGCCTCAACAACCAAAATGCTGAAGATGGGTGGGGATTTGTAATTACAATACAAAATTAACAGAGAAAACACTGATCCAGTATAGGACAAGATTTGGCTGCTGGTTATATTCGATCACACATCATCTTTTCTTGCAAGAAAGATTCATGTAATTCAGATGTAATGATTTATCTCAAAGTTTTCAAGGCATTGAAACCGACTACTCTTCTTTACTAAGACCTAATGCAGGGCAGGGACAGTGGCTCATACCTGTACTATCAGCACTTTGGAAGGCCGAGGCAGGTGGATCACTTGAGTTCAGGAGTTCGAGACCAGCCTGGACAACATGGTGCAAGCACATCTCTACTAAAAATACAAAAATTAGCCAGGCTTGGTGGCATATGCCTGTAATGTTACTACTCGAGAGGCTGAGGGAGGAGAATTGCTTGAACCTGGGAGGCAGTGGTTGCAGTGAGCCTAGATCGTGACACTGCACTCCAGCCTGGGTGACAGAGTGAGACTCTGTCTCGATAAATAAAGATAAAAAGAGTGGCTGTAGCTGCAAAAGATGAGGCTGGGTGGAGAAAGGGCTTCCCAGGCCCATGCTCTCGCTACTTGCTTCCTAATGGAACATCACAGAATGCTCAGAAGCTGAAAAACATTGCTCCAATCTCTCACTTATACCTCCTCTTCCATGCAGCAGCCTGGAGATGGGTGGTCATGGTCACTAGTGTTGTTTAAGATCCTGGTCTATAAGTTTGTGTTTTTTTTCCCCTTTCCCTTGTACAAGTTATTTAACTTGGTGAAATCTCTGTAAAATGAAAATAAAATCCACATCAGAAAATAGGTGACGGCATAATTGAAATTTCATTCCATCGTAACTTGACATAAAATTAAATAAAGATTTAAGAAAATGCTACCACATTTAAAAAGTGTAAAGGTTCCTTGCTTTGATGTCAGTAGTGGACATGGTTCACACACCAAAGGATGATTTTGACAATAAAATAACCATGTGTAGATGCCACAGAGGAATCATACATATTACCATTTTAAATCACTGAAGAAGAAATCTAACCTCCTACCAAGAGAAAGACGGGGAGATTTTTAAATGAAGTATCCATCTATAAGTGCATTTCTAGAAAGCTGTCAAATTAGAAAGCAAAGCTCTGGATAATTTGCAAAAACAAACAAACCAAAAAAATCCCTCATTTTATTTAAACAACCTCTCCCAGCATTTTCTGTCACTCAGGGAAGAGTTGTCAGTCAACATTTGATTCAGTAATTTGGCAATAATTCTTTCTCACCTTTCCCTTCAGCATACTGAGCTACCAAACTACTAAGTAGTCTATGTTAGGTGCTGCTCTAAAATTAAAAACCTTCCTTTGTGAGAAATCTTAAAATGCTCAATCATGCTCTAAAATAATCATTTTATGTGACATTTGGCAGTTGAATAGGAACCTCTTGAACAAGGGACTTTCTTTTACAAACTAAATGCATGCCCAGAAGCACCTCCCAATTTAATCAACTAAACAGACCAGAACGCTGTATGTCCGAAGCCTTTGAAACAGTCTTTCTAAGAGTAGAGGCACGGTGATCAACACAGAGAATCCTATACCAGCATAAGATCGCAGCAGCTCATTTTGCAACTCCGACCAAACAGTAAATCTGAAACGAGATTGATTAGGAGGGAACAATATGGATTTTATTACCCCAGGACATGGCCATGAGAAACTCTTGTCTCTTCTGTAAACCAGAAGAAATTATGAGAATGTTCACATTCTTGGTTTTAAGGACTCCAGGAGGACGATTAAGGACCCTGAAGCCAGATCTTAGTGATTTGCAACGGAAATGTTGTTAAAGACCCAACAGAATGAATAGCAAAGGATCTAGGGAAACTCAAGAGGAATCTTCATAGATTTGCTAGAAACATGAACATCAAGTAGCACGTGGAACCTCTAATAAAATGTATATTTATATGTCCATGAATGAGGTGCACCTCTGCTTAACAGGTGGCATGGCATCTTGTTTTTTGTTTTTTTGTTTTTGTTTTTGATGGAGTTTCACTCTTGTTACCCAGGCTGGAGTCCAGGGGCACCATCTGTCTCACTGCAACCTCCGCCTCCCGGGTTCACGCCATTCTCCTGCCTCAGCCTCCTGAGTAGCTGGGATTACAGGTGACTGCCACCATGCTCCGCTAATTTTGTATTTTTAGTGGAGATGAGGTTTCACCATGTTGGCCGGGCTGGTCTCGAAGTCCTGACCTCAGGTGATCCCCCCGCCTCAGACTCCCAAAGTACTGGGATTTTAGGCATGAGTCACCGCGCCCGGCCTACATGGAATCTTAATACAAATGGGGGAGCCGATGTCTGATGACATAGAACCATGTGATCCAACATGGTGCTGAAATCACACGGTGTTAAATATTCTATTTACGCTGCCTCCTGGCATGATGGAGGGAAGCAACACCAAATGTCCTCTTCGTGTTCAGAGGCGCTGCTTCTGCCTACAGACCATGCGCACTTCTGCCTGAGTTTTTAATCTCTGCACTGTGATTTCTATTCTCCTCACCTCCTCATGGGTTCTCCTGAGTTTCCAGTGGCTGCAGCTGCCGGTTCACATGTGTTCTCTTTCTGTAATGTTCTGAAAATATAAATGACGACTGTCCCTATTAAGTTTTTATAAAATGTTTTTCAATATATTTTTTGGCCCTCTCTATAAGCTTTGGGATTCGACTAATGCAATTGCAAGTTGACAACTTTAAAAAATCTATGTGATAAATCAGAACTCCCGAATCTATGATTAAATTTTAAATATGAAGCAGTCAAAGTCAATGAAAAATTAAAAAATTAATACCATAATTTTGTAGAATATGTTCAGTTTTGACGGTCACTTCTACTTCTATTTCCTCAAGGGAGTCTCAAGACAATCCTGATCCGTGTGGAACATGGGGGTACTCAGAGGGAGAAAGGATGCAAGGATACGAGCCTCTTCCAGTGAGTTTCTCGTAGACCACCAAGGCCGATGCATTTTCTTAAATTCAGTAAAAGGAATTACCAGTGTAGAGAACAGAATTAAATATTAACTTACTTTCTCTGTCTGTTGCATGAATTATTTGAAATATTTAGCTTGCCTGTGTATCTACTAGGTTTCTGTTTCTTTGTTGATTTTTTTGTTGACTTTTTTGTTCTTGTTTGTCTATTTTTTTGAGACAGGGTGTCATTCTGTTGCCCAGGCTGGAGTGCAGTGGGTGATCCTGGCTCACTGCAGCCTTGACCTCCCAGGCTCAAGTAATCCTCCTGCATCAACCTCCTAAGTAATTTGTAAATTTTTCATAGAGACAGGGGCTCTGTATGTTGCCCAGGCTGATCCTGACTTCCTGGGCTCAAGAGATCCTCCTGCCTGGGACGGCGAAAGTGCTGGGATGACAGGTTGAACCCCTGTGCCTGGCCCTTCTAAGACCATAGATGTGATTTCCTATCACTTTGTTGAAGAAAGCAGGGAGAAAAAAAAAAGAACTTCAATTAAATAGTATTGACCTTGTGTTCATTTTTATAAGTACTAGATACATAAGGTACCAACACAATGTTAGAAATCCAGTTTTCCAAGATTGTCACTTTTTCTCAAAATATCATTTAATTTTTGCTAAAGCTCTTTTTTCTTTATACAAACACAAGTATATTAGAAAGTCAAGTGATTAACATTTAATGTAACTTTAGGTCTTTGTAAACAGTGATTCCTTGGCTTCTTTCATTCCTTTCTCATTGGAATGAATTTTTGCCTCTGTCATTCTTTAGGAATATGGTTCTCTGAATAAGCACGTGTGACCACATATTGCTCACAGGGCCTCTTATGCTATTCATCTTTATAAAACGGCCTTTATTTTTAATGTACTACTAAGCCATTTGCTTAAGTTAGTTTACATGTGATAGTAAGAATAGTAACAGATTATGACCAGTGTTAGCATGGATATTGCAAATAGCTTCTTTTCAACACTACTTGTGGGAGTAAACACACAGCACCAGCTAAAAGCATTAAAAATGTATATATTCAATGATCTAGCACATTTTAGGAATCTATTTTATGGGAATAATTTTGGATATTCACACATATCTTTGACATTTACCTCAGAATCTTATAAAAGAGCAAACGGAAAAAATAAAAACCATCAAAATGTAAAAATGGAAAACAACCTAAATGGGCAAAGTAGGAAATGAAGGAAATAAAATGAAATAAAAATTACTCACAATACTTATGTGGAAAAACATTTACTGCTTAAATTTTACATTTATTTTTCTCTTCTAACAGTGTTTACCAATAAGATCACAGATAAGTGTGCTTTGATAACAAATGTTTGTTTTACAGAATACCTAATTTTTGCAAGCCTGCTTTCTTGACAGTTGGAAAGTTATGAAAATAAAATTCTAACGAATCCATGTTTTGTCTGAAAACGTGGAAAAACTGTTACCTTAAATGGTGGTGCTGCATGCAGCTGTGCCCTACATAGAGCTGTTCCCTGGCAGGTGGGAGTGAGAGCTATGGCTTGGTCATGAGCCTCTTTAGGGTTCTCCCACCTGCCGAGGGATTTGAATATCAGTTGAATGTCTGCACTCTGCTTGGTGCTAGATAGAAGATTTTCAAAAGAATATTTAACTTTCATGTATTCACCTACTGTTGTCACCTGTCACACCCTACTAGTGAAGTTTATGCAAATTATAAAAATTTTTTGAAAATATGTTGCAATATTTCTGAAGTTGTTTATTTTAAAAAATAGCATACATCCCAACAAATCATTCTGGTATAAGAACAAACGTACTTCTACAAACAACAAAATTCTTTCTTGTCATTCTAGAATTTTAAAAAAGAAGGAAAAAAGGGAAAGAGAAACAATTTCATCATTGTGATGCTTCCTGATTGTCATCTGTTTACTCCCTCAAGTACCTCACAGTATCCTTGGTACTGGCAACAGAGGTGTGAATGCAAGACCTTTATCACTTTGCAAGAACAGTGGCTATTTCATTGATACACTAATGCAAACCAACCAGTGTTTCATTATTTGAGACACAGTATCTATTTCTCAGAAACCAGCCCTGGCCTTTTATGTGTTTAATATGTAGTTGCTGTTTTTTAATTTTAAGTGTTTATGGGTAACTATGGTAGATGAATATATTGATGGGTTACATGAAATGTTTTGATACAGGAATGCCATGTGAAACATGCACATCATGAAAAATGGGATATCCATTCCCTCAAGCATTTATCCATTGAGTTGCAAACAATGCAATTACACTCTTTAAGTTACTTTAAAATGTAGAGTGAAGTTATCATTGACTATAGTCTCCTCGTTGTGCTCTGAAATGGTAGGTCTTATTTATTATTTCTAATTACTTTTTGTACCCACATAATAGGTAGTTTTGTGTGTGTGTGTCTACATGTACAGAGGCACTCGCACACACCCCCACAGTTTATTAGCTGAAAGATCAAAGCCAGGAAACCTTTCATAAGAGTTATTTTTAAATAATATAATTATCTTAAATAATTATTTTTCTTTGATTTTTAAATTATAAATCTAGTATTCTTTTTTGATTTTTTATTCCTTTTGCCCCTTAAGCACTGTTTGAGTAGTTGAAAGAAATGGAATCAAATATACAGCTTTTAAAAGAAGGAGGAAATTAAACATGTATTTTTATTTTCACTTCGACCAGGATATTCATAAGGGTATGTGCAAATAATAGTATATGGCTACTTATTAAAATGTATTAAAACAGAAAAAAAGTATTTATTTTTAAAAATAAAATCTTTCATAGTAGTTGTTTAGTTGTCTCAAAATATTTAAATGTTTGCTTTCAGAACTAGTGGCAATCCTTTTTCTAATAACAACCCTTGTTTTTACTAAACATTCAGTAATTATTAGATGAAAGAACTGTTTAAACTGCTTTAAAAACAGCGTGCAGCTCTTTTTTTTTTTACATAACAGAATGAAAATTTTATATAAGATGAAGAACAGAACAGGCAAAACTAAATTTTGGTATACTTACGGAATTCTTTACAGTTATTGGTAATTCAATCATTAATTCACAATTTTTTATAAAGCATCTCCAATGATGCAATTAATGTTTTACCAGAGTAAGATATAAAATCAGGTGTTATCATAATTTAAGAATTTAAAAATAACATATATTTTTATCTACTACAATAAAATTATCTTGATTACTTCGAACAAATCAAAACTAACACCTGTTAAGAATCCAGGATTTTCCCTATGTGGAATGCTTGAGTTCTTTGCAGTGAAAATGGAATATAAATTTTAAAGTATTTTAAATCTTATTTGCTAATATACATCTGTACACTGAAGTTTATTTCTTAACGTTAAAAACTAGTTTTAATAACTTGAAAACCACTATGCATGTTTCCATGGAATGCAAACGAGAGGCATGCCTCATCTTACAGTATGATTTTCATTCAGCATCCTGTTACGATGTTATTGTTACATAATTGATTACTTGGTTTATGCCATTACTTGCTTCGTTATTTATCAGTATGAGAGCTTGGGGTTGTTGCTATTTTATTTTATACCTTTTTTACACAAAATGCCCTTAGAACAGTTTGGATGTTTGTGGACATGAACTGCAATATAATAATGTTATGTTTCTTTTTATGATATGAGCTACAGTGAGCATTATTTTTAATACTAGATGATAACCATTTACAACCCTTAGAAAAATTCAATTAGAAAATGCACTAATACATCACAGTGGAGTGACACTGTCTCCATCAAGTAGCACAGAAACTTCATCCACAGGTTGCTGCTGCCATGGCTTCTCCCACTGTCGGGATGACGGGCAGCGCTTTATCAGAGAGAAGCTGGGCACCTCGTGTGGATTAGAAAAAGGGTTCCCATGACTAAAGTGCCTGTAGGTGCCCAGCAGTGCTTAATGGTCCCGATTCAGGAAATGTACAGGAGATGATGGATTTAAAAGCCATGGTTGACAACGACTTCATTACATGCAAACTTTAAAATAAAACAGAAAATGTCATGTCCAAGTCTTCAAAAGATTTCTCTGATAACTTAAAAAACCCATATAGGTTTATTTTTATTCAAATACATTCTTCATATAAAATTTTTAGTTATTGTTGTCCTTCATTTTTCCACAAATATTATGTTTTCATTAGTTGCAAATGAGTGAATGTATTAGTTTCATAAAAGTTATTTGCAGTATGTTTTATCTATCAGTTTTTAACATTAAAATCAGTTTTTAATCTATCAGTTTTTAACATTTAAAATATTATGATCCTGAAAAGATCAATATATTCAATATATACTGATTGAAATCTGTATTTGATATGTTAAATTTTTTTGGGGGGGTCACGAACTTGTAAGAATCTAATAGAGAAAATACATTACCTATATAGTAGAAATTCTACACCAAGAATGCATAACCTAAGGTTTCAAATACGAGATAACTTATGCTTATTTTAAAATGACATATGTACTGGTTTCAAAAATACTTTAAATACCATTTTAAAAATTATTTAAAAATGTAACTTCTTAATTATTTTTAGCTGTCAGGTTATACTTATCATTTTTTTCTCATAGAGTCAATGCGTTTTTAATTACTAAAACTGAAAGGTAACTATCATGACGTTGATGAAGATTCCTGAACTTTCTTCAAGTTGCTGCTTCTTCTACTAGCATGAGCTTCATCAAGGAAAGCAGTTTCCTTTTGTTTATTAATTCAGCTGTCTCCCGGGTCTAGAAGTGTGACTAACACATAACGCTTAATAAATATTTGTTGAATAGTCAAATATAATATCACAAGAGCCTGTGAAACAGAGTGTCTTCTCAGCAATTAAGACAAAGTAAAACCAGGCAAGATTTGCATAAGCATTAATTATTTCATCAATGCAACCCTATGACCACCCTGATCAATGTGACTGACAGCTTTCTTGCGCATTCCCTATTCTAAGATATTTTACTTATGAACCCTTTTAATCTCCACAAGAACCCTATGAAGTGGGCCCCATTACTCTCAACATTTTGTAGAGAATGAAATTCTTCAGGCTGAATGCTGCTCAAGGTCGCATGCCTGTAGAATAGCATCTGTGACCTCAACCACTGCACTGACCTCAACCACTGCACTGACCAGCACTAGCACTGAGATGTGTACCTTGAATTTGTTTGCAAATGACTTGTTAGCCATTTACATAGTGTCTAGTACAGATTTGTCACAGGGCATAGTACACATGTCACAGAACACATAGGTATTAGTGTGCAGTGGGTGGGGGCGTGAAGGTGCCTGCAGGGAATGGGTGAGACGGGATTACAACCATCTTTTCTTGAATTTCTTTTTCCATTTAGATTTTTGCTTCTTTCCTTTCATCTTAATTTCTGCATTATAAAATCCTCAGATGAAACTTTCATGATGAACATTTTCTCAATCTCTTGGGCTGAAGCAATCTTTCCATTTCCCTGGGATCACAATCAGTGAACACGTGCTCTATTTCTGACACTCCTTGCTACATTCCACCTATGATAATTTCCCACACTATGATCCAAGGAGATTGTGGGTTCCCTGAAGACAGATCCCATTTCATTCCTTTCCCAATGTCCTGCCATACTCAGCAAAGCAATGTCAAGTAGAAGGCACTCAATACATTTTGCTGAAAAGAGAAATTTCTAAAGGTTTTGTTTTTGTTGTTGTTCCTGTTTTTTCCATGTTCTCTGAGTTGTTTTGGATGGCATTGGTGCGACTTAAAGAAAAAAAAAATTAAGGAAAACTCACAGGTAATTTGCTTTGACAGTTTTGGATTCTGCTGTTCAGAGCAGCAAACATTTTTAATACTTTGTGACTCTGGCACAAAGCCCCATGTTAAATTTTATTTTCAAAGTGAGTGCTAAGAAGAGCATTGCCACTCTTGAGAGAAATCTGGAACCTTCTCCTTTCTGCTCATAAGAATGTGGTAAATCACCAACTTTCTCTTTCTGTCATAGATGCCTGGAAATGAAATATTAATTTTGGTCTTCACAATTTTGTGAATCTGCATGTATGCTTAGTTAATTTGCTCCTCCAGGCTTTCATTACCTATTTCCTTATATGATTCTGTAGGTTTTCAGCAAGTCACAAGAAATAACTAAGGAAAATAGGCTGAGAATAAATTTAATAAACTCAAGAATGGTAACTGACCTCCAATTTCATGTCAGCCACATCGTGCCATGGAGAGGTCATGTGCACGGCTGCCTTTTACGTGTCCATCTACTAGCTCTTACCATGAGAGCATCTCATAGCTCTTACTCAGATGGACACTTGCTTGTCCATCTCATAGCTTCCTCAAAAAGCACGTTGTACTGGAGCAACTGTGAAACTCGGTGTCTGTGAGAAAGTCTCATGGGGATAACAAAACGAAAAGCAAGCCCTGCCCTCAAGAGAAACTTCCTCTCGAGTGAGGAAACAGCCTGTCTGCAGGACTCCTGTTATTACCAATGAGGTCACTGCTGTGTGCTAGGATTCCCAGCGCCTGGCAGCCTCCAGCAGAGGTGACCTGACATGGGAGCCTCAGTCACCCCTGTAACCACACAAACCCCACAAAAACAACTGTTCCCACATGGCTCTCTTTTTTCCTTTTTGGTAAGCACATATAATTTTTACATCTTATTTATCAAATATTCATAATTCATAGATTTCTTCCACTCATATTTTTTTTCTATTCATACTCTTGGAACCTACCTACCAATACAGGCATTATTGTAAGAAATCCATGAATATGGGGACTTTACTTCAATACATTCTACCACGCAGCCTGAAACACACTTATGTGAGTTTGGCAAAGGGTTTCAAAAATATAGATCCTCATAGGGTCTAATGAATAGATTGAGGCATGTTGGGGGTAAATAATTGGAAGGAAACGTCTCGTCGCTGCTGTCTCTCCACCTCCTCGTGGTGATGATGAAATTACTCCTGCCCAACCCGGCTCTACTTATCACTAATTGAGCACTCTGATATTGATGTAAAAAGACATATCCCCAGCATACGACATCAGTGCATGACGGTGCTCATGCTTTTAAGGGAAAGCAGCTTTCCTTTCCGGAGACATCGGTGATTTACTGAGGTCTCGTCTCCTCTTGATCCCTTCCCAGCGCTCCCATTAGGTTTAATGAAAGGAACACAATATGGGAACAGTGAGAAGACAAGGAATTAGCGTCCTAATGTGCATTTCATTGCCAGCCACAGGTTCCACTGTTTTTACACTGCCTCCTAGAAGCTTGCATTTTACAACAATTGGAAAATCAGAAAAAGAACAAAGATGCTGCACAACACCTGGACCACAAGAAGTTTCCTCCTTTCCTTCAGATGTGCACAGCGACCTTTGAACAGTAGCCAGTGCATTTAGAGAGCTCTACTTCACAGTGAAACATGGGGCCTCAGGCCCTGATCACATTTTACAACACCTGTGAGATCTTAGCACACTAACAGACAGGGACAGCCAAATCTCAATAATGTATAGGAAGTTTTAGGCCAGGAAATTTAGGGCATCTTTTTGTTTTGGGAGCGGATTGCAATGTGCTCTAATTTGTTCTGGATGTAGTAACAGAGGTGTGAATCAGGTATCACGCTGTTGTGATGGCTGTTCTAAGGCATGAGAGAATGACTAAGGACAGCTGGAGGAGACATCAGCGCAGCTACAGAGGCTACATGGAAAAGCTGCAGGAGAAGGCGTTGATAAATGTGCATGCAACTCACAGGATACAGTGTGTCTTTGGCTTAGAATGTTGTGTCACTCCAAAATTCATATACAGAAGCTGTAACTCTCCAAGTCATGATATTAAGAGCTCAGGCCTTTGGAAAACACCTACAGGAAGATGGGATCATGAGGATGCGGCCAACATGATGAGATTATAAAAAGAGGAAGAGATTCCAGAGCTCTCTCCCCGCCTTGTGAAGACGCTGAAAGCAGGTGCCATCTATGAGCCAGGACGCAATGCGTACCCAGAACTGAATAAGCTGGAACCTTGATCCTAAACTTCTAGCCTCAGAACTGTGAGAAATAAGTGTGTGTTATTTAAGCCACCGTCTGTGGTATCTTGTTATGACAATACAAACCCATGAAGAAAATGTAGAGAAGTGTCTAAATTTTCAGAGCTATTTATACTGTAGACAGTCACAAATAAACTTTGTAAACTGAAAGGCATACTCCATAAAGACCCTTTGTCCTCAATAATATGAACTATAGCTTCAGCCAACACTGCCAAAGTTAAATATTAAGAACTGGGTTGAACAACTCACAGATACTTCAAACTGTGTATTCACATGGCAATGGTTCAATTATTTTAAATGACAGACTCACACAAGTAACATCTTCTATTCCTAATTGATTACTTTTGTCTGTTTTTTCTAGAAAATAGGTTTTATCATTGTATAGTGCTGTACGGTTTATAGAGCATTTTATAATATATGACACAATGTTATCACTTTTCACAATCAAAATTAGCTATGCCTCATCTTATCAACCATTGGCATAGATGGGAACTTAACTATTAGGGGAAAAGCTGAACTAGCATTGTATCCGACCACAGCCCAATGCTATTCTTGTCACACTGTAATATGCGTCCGGAAGCAGTTCTGAGATAATCCTGAATTTCAGCTTTAACGCGGTATTTTAAGTGTTGACCTATTCCTGGCGGCATAAAATATTCTTCCCACTTCTATGGTCAGGGAAATCTTCACATCTTACACGTTTGTGAAGATTTTTTTTTGCCAAACTTCCTCACAATTCACTCTGCTCGTCTCTGCTTCTATGTTGTTTATGCCATTTAGATTTGTCGTCTCTCTTTGGTTTTCCACTCAAATTCGTAGTGAAAATAGTTTCCCCCCTTGTTAATTTGTTTTTTATGCCCCAATGATGCCTTACTTTTTGCTTATGGCTTTTCTGTATCAAATGAAAATATACAAGGGTTTCTGCCTATTGAGAATCTGGAGAATTTAAAAGAACGATGTGACAAGAAGTAAGAAGCCCCCACCCTTCTGAATTCCTGAATTTTCATTTCTGCTGCAGGCGACATTCTCACTTAGACTGGGGATACATACCCCTTGGCCAACCACTAATGTCCCCACTCCCAGCAGTTGGCTACTTTGAAAATCCTTTCAAGTTGGGAATGAAGGTGGAGACTGTTTTTATTTTCAGGCTAAAATTCACAATTGTTCTAAAACATCCCGCCGTTCCCAGTGGTTTTCCCATAAAGAGTAGGGGCCCTGCTCACCTTTCCCCACCTTTGTACCCACACCCAGAGGTTCTTCAAGGTTCAACTATCCTGTAGTAACCATGAATTTTCCCACAGTCAAAAACGCCCGTACTTGTAGTTCCTTCCAAGGACTTGCTATTTGCATAATGCATGCTGAAATGTCAGGAGTCCTCCAGATGGAAAACAGTGATAGTTACGCTGCATGTACAAGAGACTCCAAGAATGGGTATCTCCATAGTTTTCTTCAGTAAAGAACATGCAATTATTCTAAGTGAAGTAACTCAGGCGTTGAAAACCAAACATCGTATGTACTCACTGATATGTGGGAGCTAAGCTATGAGGACACAAAGGCAAAAGAATGATAACAGCGGATTTTGGGGACTTCAGGGGAAGAGTGGAAGGGGGGTGAAGGATAAAAGACAACAAATATGGTGCAGTGTATACTGCTTAGGTGATGGGTGCACCAGGATCTCACAAATCACCGCTAAAGAACTTACTCATGTATCCAAATACCACCTGTACTCCAATAACTTATAGAAAAAAGTAAAAAAAAAAAAAAAAAAAAAAAAAGAACATACAATTGTGTTTACCTAAGTCTTTCCACACCGTGTTCCATCACATCACTCATAATTTTTCCTTTAAATTGTATCAATTAGAGCAGTATTGTTCCCTTTGAGTTGTCTTTTAATTATGTCTCTTGTCATAGTTTCCTTCTTTGACGTTAATTGTGCCCCAAAGAAAGGCTCTTTTGTATTTGATTTCTTCAGTCCTACATTTAATAAACGTGCTTGGAGACCCTGCCGTCCGACAGGCTGTGCGCTTCACAAAGTCAAGAGAAGAGGCAGTTAGCAGAGCCTCACTTTTCAGTGAGTCAGCAGGAGGGCGTGCACTTGCTGCAGGGAGTAATGCAGCTTTATCTGTGAAGTTTCCTGTCATACAGAACTAGTTACAATTGCCTGTAATCCCGGCACTTTGGGAGGCCGAGGCAGGTGGATCACAAGTTCAGGAGATTGAGACCATCCTGGCTAACACGGTGAAACCCCGTCTCTACTAAAAATACAAAAAATTAGCCTGGCGCGGTGACGGTCGCCTGTAATCCCAGCTACGCAGGAGAATGGGGTGAACCTGGGAGGTGGAGGTTGCAGTGAGTCGAGATTGCACAACTGCACTCCAGCCTGGGTGACACAGCGAGGCTCTATCTCAAAAATAATAATAATAATAATAATAATAATAATATTAATAAAAAAAATAATAATAATAAACTAGTTAGAATTAACTACAATCTGAGCTAAAACTTAAGAATGCTGGGATTTAAATCCTGGTCTACATTCCTGAGTTGTGTGATACAGCATAAATTACACAATCCTTCTCTGCCTCAATATTCTCACCTGCAAAATGAGGATAATCCTTGTACAAACCTCCATGGTTGTTAGGAAAATTAAATGAGCTAATATATGGAAAGCACAATAAGACATGGAATTAATAGAAAGATCTTAACTCACATGATTACTATTAGTATATACTCCATAAGGACCAGAAAAATAACGCATCATAAATTATGTGCATACCATTTAGAATTATGTGCACTAGGATTATGTGCACTAGAATTATGCGCCTAGTCATTTAGAATTTCACTACTATTATGAAGTACTGCTGAGAGAGAAAAAAAAAAAGCCATTAAATTATGTGGGGCAAAGATAGGGCAGATCTGAGACCAGGGTGGCGGACCGGAAGCCTCATAAGATCAGGAGGCAGAGGGAAGCACCCGGCATCTGTAGGAGGCTTAACGTGGAAGGAGCTGCCCACAGATAATGGACAGGGCCAGAACGAGGGCAAGAATCCGCTGGAGGATTCTGAGGGGAGCACGATGGTCACTTTCATCATTGCAGCTCTACGCATACCAAGGACAAAGCTAAACCATTAGCGTTTCCTACCCTTGCCTTTACAATAACTTTGAAAAATAGATATTGTTATATGCACTTTGCAGATGAAAAACAAAACAAACAAACAAACAAACGACAAATAGGGCCCCTAGAGCTAGTTAGTAGCCCAAGACAGCACAGCGGGATAAATCATGGGGCCGGGATCCCAATCCAAGTTGGCTGACTCTTTTCCCCAGGAGCCTCTAATGATGTAAAACGCCTCAGACATCGTTATGCATCCTCCCACATCTTTCTTTCTTTTTTTTTTTTTGAGACGGACTCTCGCTCTGTCACCCAGGCTGGAGTGCAGTGGCGCGATCTCAGCTCACTGCAAGCTCCACCTCCCGGGTTCACGCCATTCTCCTGCCTCAGCCTCCCGAGTAGCTGGGACTACAGGCGCCCACCACCACGCCCGGCTAATTTTTTGTATTTTTAGTAGAGATGGGGTTTCACCGTGTTGGCCAGGATGGTCTCCATCTCCTGACCTCGTGATCCCTCTTTCTTGCCCTCCCAAATTGCTGGGATTACAGGCGTGAGCCACCGCGCCCGGCCGCAGCCTCCCACATCTAAAATTACCTATAAGTCACCAGGGTAGATATCAAGTCATGAGGAAAATATACTTACAGGACTTGGGACAGGAAACTGCCCTTGGATGCCATTTCAGTGCCGTGGAGAAGGACAGCCCCAATTTTGTTTTTGATGTTTCTATTTTATTTTTTCATAAACCCCATTTATCAAACTGTATTTTTCAAACCATAGCCCACGTGTATCATGATAGAGATCATGTGGAGTGTATTTTCAGGACAAGTTCTAATCCCATGGATTGGGGGCCATTGCTAAGTATGGTTAGATGTTCCCCTAGTCTGGTAGCATCTGATGGGGCTGTCAACTGCACCTCTAGAGCACGTCGCAGTTCTGATGGGGCTGTCAAATGCAGCTCCAGAGCACCTGGCAGATCTGGCCGGCTGTCAATTGCAACTCTAGAGCACACAGCAGATCTAATGGGACTGTCAATTGCAGTTCTAGAGCACACCGCACATCTGACAGGGCTGTCAATTGCAACTCTAGAGCACATTGCAGATCTGATGGGGCTGTCAATTGCAGCTCTAGAGCACAGGGCAGATCTGATGGGGCTGTCAATTGCAGCTCTAGAGCACACGGCAGATCTGATGGGGCTGTCAATTGCAGCTCTAGAGCACACCACAGATCTAACAGGGCTGTCAATAGCAACTCTAGAGCACACAGCAGATCTGATGGGGCTGTCAATTGCAGCTCTAGAGCACATCGCAGAAAATTCAGGTCAGGAACCTCTCAGACTGCGCTTGCACCCAGCCACCTGCACAGTGAAGCCATCCTGCAAAGCGAGTGGCAAGCTTAACTTCAAATGTCACATTGATGTCCCCAATAAAATGTCACACATGCACAGAGTTTACTGAGCCAAATTTCGATCCACTGCCAAAAGAAAATGCTGACGACAGATCATGAGTCTCTGTTTTCCTATTTAGACTTTTCAATTCTAAACTGGTGAGTACTTTTGGTTCTAAGATAACAAACCTAAACAGAGAGGCACATTGATATATGTTTCTATAAGGTAAAGCAGCATTAAATAATGACTAGCTCATTTTGAATCCAGCAGTAATAAGTACACTATTTTGATTTTTCGTCTAGGTATATTAAAAAATATATATATAGCCAAGTACAATATTTGGATTCTTCAAGTAAGAAAAAATACAGCTAGGGGTTTCATTTGAACAAAATGCCAAGGCTTGTTACTTGTGTTTTATGAAAACAGAATGATTTATGGGTTCAGGATTCAGTGTATATATCATATATATATATATATATATATATATATATATATATATATATATATATTTGTATGTATTTGTGCGTGTGTGTGTGTGTGTGGGTGTAAAGGGAGATCACACACACAAAAAACTAGAGGGAATGGAAGAGAAAAAGGAGCAAGAAGAAAGCCAGAAATGAAGAGAAAGTTTGAATCTATGTCCATAAAACGAATACTTTATTTCAAGCTTCATTGTAGTTCATTATAAGCCTTTAAAATTAACACTTTAGAATTTGGTGAAGACTTGGGAAAGATGGATTATTCCGATACTGGGAAAATCACGGATCTCATAAGGTGGCTCTGACCACATTTTGATTACTGTGCTCATGTTCTTAGCTTTCAAAAACACTGTGGCTTTTATGTTACTTAGGGGGGACTTGTCATGAAGAATTACACCATAGATCATGTACTTCAGGAGAGGGTGTGATGGATGCCAGCTGAGCCTTCCTTGTCCCTTCTCACAGTTTGTGGTAAACTAGAAGGTATCTGAGAAGCATTGACGGGTTATAAATTGAAGTCCCATTTCATGCTTTACAAATTTCCCACACCATGCACAAAGCACATTTGCAGATAATAAATTATTTTTAAAGCAGGCATATATGTTTTCGTTTATTAGGGTTACAGATTGCATTGTTTTGTTTTCCTTTCTTCCATAGAAAGTAAATGAATATACATCTACCCTCTTGTCTAGTCTTATGTGCACACACACACAAACACACCTGGGCGTGCACACTCACACATTTTAGAACATAATTGCTGCTCAGAAGTCTCCATCCCAAATGTTTCAAGAGCCAGATACAACGAACACATCATTTTACTCCATGGATTGCTCTACTATGGAATAATAACAGTTTCACTTTATTTGAAGGGGCGCCACCTTCTAGTACAGGAAGATCCTTGCACGGCAGAACCGTTGCACTCACAGAAGCTTGCTAGGTTGATGCTAGAATTCTCATTACAACCTCCAAGAATCAAGTAACAACTTGATTCAAGAAGTTAGATTAAAAAGGCTGCCTTTAAAATGTTAAAGTGATTTTTTTTTTTTTTTTTGAGATGGAGTCTCACCCTGTCGCCCAGATTGGACAGGGTGAGACAGCATTCTTCAATGCTGAGACTGTACCCTAGGTCTGTCTGAGCATCAGATAATTTTTCTTCCCAATTCATCGTGCACTCTTACTTTGAACATTTCAAACCATTTTGCATAACTCAATTTTTTTTTCTAATTCTAGCCTAAAAGTTTCCCTGGCTGTCCTCTGACTCCCATTTAAGCCAGGCCCCACCCACTCCCCTGCTTCTCTTTGCTATCTCAAAGCCCTGTCTTTTCCTCTTCATTATATGAAGACCCCATCCAAAAATCAAGGATCTCGTTCGTATCTGGGAGCTACAAGTTCAGATGAACAGGATTTCTCAAGTGACTTGAAGGCATCACCTTAAAGTCTCTCCAAAGAGCCCTTTTATTTTAAGCTGCCCCTCGGTCCTGAGATGGTGCAAAGACACCAGATGGAGGAAGAGCTTTATAACTTCCCTCGCCTGGCTGAGGGCATCAACATTCTCTCTACAATCCTTCCCTATGTTTCTAAAAGCTCAGTGAAAACCCTTCTAGGGTGTTCATTGAAATGTAGATCCCTGAGCACTGAGACACCCCCAGCCAACCTTCCTAACCACAGGCCCTGGACATTTCACTGTTGAATACGTTTCCACTTCAAGGTGAAATCTGAAATATCAGGGTATAGCCATGTGCAAAGCCGAGCAACTGACTTCCCTGGCTACCAAAAGCAAGATCCTTCTCCTTTCTTTTTCTACTCCCATGATCAGCAGACCCGTATAAATTATAAGTATCTTAATCTTTCAACTTTCTAATTATTTATTTTTTCCCAAGCCATGCAACATACCTAAATCATGATTTTCCTAAAGTACTGCTTTCCTTATACCATGAGATATGAGGGACAGAGTGAACATTTTACAAGCATTTTACCATGGAAAATTTATCATGTTTCAGTTTTGCTCAAAGGCCTGCTTTTACAATGTTTAAGTGATTTTTCTTTTTTTTTAGATGGAGTCTCACCCTGTTGCCCAGGCTGGAATGCAGTGATGCGATCTCGGCTCACTGCAATCTCTGCTCCCAGGTTCAAGCAATTCTCCTGCTTCAGCCTCCCAAGTAGCTGGGATTGCAGGTGCACGCCACCATGCCCAGCTAATTTTTGTATTTTTAGTATACAGGGCGTTTCACCATGCAGTTCAGGCTGTTCTTGAACTACTGACATCAAATAATCCACCTGCCTCAGCCTCCCAAAGTGCTGGGATTACAGACGTGAATCACCGCATCCATCCAAAATGTTAAAGTGATTTCTATCATTTTGTGAAAACGATGGGTTCCTTTCTCCCAACTTACTGGAATGTATTTACACACACAGCGTCTATCCGAGTTCTATGGGAGAAAGCAATCCAGTATATACACTTCTTACTTTACACACACCGTGCCCACAACAGCAGCACGCACTCTTCCTGTGAACATGCTTCCCATGCTCAAAGGCTACACACAGCCCAGTGTTTCTGTAACATGTTCTGTGATGACCTCACTGAGCAGTGCTTTCTTTCTCCTCCAAGTACCGACAGCATCTTTGCAACTGCATTGCTTATTTGTTGTTTATCACATATGCCATGATAACGACTAATGGATACAGGGGTTGTCTGTCTCCGTTCCTGGTACAGTGGTAGGTTTCTGA
The DNA here is from genome assembly GCF_000001405.40 of Homo sapiens. Taxonomy (NCBI): domain Eukaryota; kingdom Metazoa; phylum Chordata; class Mammalia; order Primates; family Hominidae; genus Homo; species Homo sapiens. The sequence continues at coordinate 3,987,450 of NC_000008.11, forward strand.
CTTTTACTTTCATATTCACCCAGCTAGATGAGTATCTTTAATCTCCTTTTTAAAGTCAGGAAACCAAAAATCTGGGAGTCTGACTCTAGCCCAAATGGTGCAGCTACGAAGGGGAGGAACACCATTTTTAATTCCTCGTTCTTCTCACTCTAAGGCCAATTCTGAGAACTGTGAAGGATGAGTAGGGCTTTGCTGATAAAGCAGAAGAGACAGTTCCCAGACAGAGAAAATGGATTGAAAACAGGAAACTGCAAGGTGGAACGAGGTCACTAGCAGCATAAAGTGCAAAATGGAATGTAAATATTGACAGGACTCAGGCCAAAGCAGGCTCTGCGCCACGTCAAGAAGCATAGCCTTATCCAAACCCATAGTTCCAGATGTTAATTGACAGCCTGCCAAAAAGAAATGGTTCAGGGTCCAATCTGTTTGGCACATTGCAACATCTTCTACCTGATCTCTGAGAGTCACACCGAATGGTCTCACATCAAAGGACTGAGAAATCCACAACAAAGGAAACTGCTCAACTTTTTAACTCAATTTTCTTGAAAAGAGCTCAAAATGATTTTACTTTCAACACACAGCTATTAATAGATTTGGAAACACTACTGTGCCTAAAAACATAGGGAAGCTGTTGAAATATTGTGATTTTTTTATACCCTTTTGATGTCACCTCTTATTCATAGTCATCTGCTGGGCAGTTGGGCTGGTTCAGAAAACTAAATCAGAGTCTCTAAGCAGTAAGACCCTGGTGAGTCTGTGAATCCTAAATCTGAAACTCAATATTGAACCTCGGCTTTCTGGATCATCTCCATCTTGTCCCAGAAGGCCATTATAAACATCACACAGGATTTCAACAGAGACAAAAGAGCTTGCATCAAATTCTGAAATAGCATAACTACTGCAATGTTTTTCAGTTTGGAGGAAAACCTGAAATTATTATGAATGATAATTAGTTATGGTTTTAGGTCTGTGTTTGTCAAATATGTACGCCACTCACAAACACCCTAACCTCTCACAGCTCAGGCTCTGGAGCACGGAACAGCAGCACCAACCAGAGCTGAACGATTGTCAGAAACAGAGAATCTCTGGACTCACTCCAGAACTGCTAGATCACGGTCTGCATTTTGAAAAGATCTCCAGTGAGTCCTGTGCACATGACAGCTGGAGAGGAACGTTTAATAGATAAATATGTACTTCGGTCAAAATTCCACTGTTATCACATTTCATTTTTACTAAGTGATATACAGGATCTAAACCAGGATAGCATTTTGATTTTCATTCACAAAGTTGACGGACATATACAAAAACAGCCCTGAATGTGAAACAATGCTGATTATGGTCAATTATATTTCCAAACAACAAGGAAGGGTCATCATTTAGGTCCTATTTTTTCCTTTAAAGTGATATTATTACTGTTGTTATTGTCACACAATTCATAACCAAAGTAAGATCAATGTTTTAAAAGTTGAGTGGAGAAGTTAACAGCTTTTATAACTCAAAAAATTTGAAGGTTATTTGCTGAACATAGACTTTTAGAACTAGATACAGGTAAAAACCATTGTTCAAAACACATTCTATTTCAAAAAGTTTTTCTTTTTCATTGTAGGGCAGAAATCTGAACTCTCTATGGCACTGTTTCTTACAGCAGTAAACGTGCAGCTAGTTATAGAAATTGCTATGTGGGGCGGGCATTTTGCTAAGGGTTTTCCAAGCGTCTGCTCATTTGCTCTAGTTAGCAGCTCTCTCAGGGATGTGGCAATCACTTCTATTTTACAGACAGTGATCTGGGACTTCCAGAGCAAACCTGCTCTACGTCATCAAGCTCAGAAGTCATAAAACCAAGACTACAGCCTAAGTCTCACTCAAACCGAGGTCTGAATCAGTCATCTTGGCTTAGCAACTATGCTTTTATGGCCTGCTGATAGAAAGGTAATGAAAAAACGACAGAGGACATTGCCCAACACTCTCCAAGCTAGGTAAGAGCGGCTTCTTAGCATGCTGGAACGAGTTGTGGTAACACAGACAAAAAACCTGGATTCTCTTCTAGCCAACTAATAATACTCCACAGGGTAGGATAAAGCACATGATCTATTTATGATGCAGTTCCTTTTTCCCCAAACAAGAAAGGGATTGCATTAAGAGATTTCTCAGGTGCCATCTATTTTAAATTTATAATTCAAAAAAAATTAAAGTCTTTATGATGTATATGTTTATTAAGAAACGATACTGTGATACTCTAAAGAGATTCGAATCAGAA